>NC_000003.12:86676666-86979696 GCF_000001405.40 Homo sapiens | reverse complement strand
CTTAATTTTTCTGTGCTTTAGCTTTTTAATCTTTACAATATGGATAGTATTAATAGCCATGTTATAGAATTGTAAAGATTAAGTGAGGTGATAAATATAAAGTTTTAGAAACATGTCTGAAATAATGTATATTATTATTAGAATTATATTTTTAAACATTTTAAATTAACAAATCTTTCTCATTTTTAATTGAAAGATTAACCCACTACTAGTATTTTGTAATATTTTCACTAAGCCATAATGAAATCTTTTCCCCTCATGATAATGGTGGTAAACGGAACATCTAAAAAATATGTTCCATGCAAAATGCATCTTCACACAGACTTATTTTGCCATTTTAGTTTGATTTTTGAAGACATGAGTTCAGCACATCTGCCAAATCCTTTTATAAGATGCTACATTCCTGTTTTTATTTTAGTTTATTTTATTTATGAAAAGTTCTTTTCTTCTCCACTCCACCCCCAGACAGTCATTCCTCTCTGTCCTAAACCATAACACTGCTGTACATTGCATTTTTAAAAATAAACCAAAACTGGGAAGAAAAACTTTTTAAAAAAGTAATTCTCCTGTTGGCCTAGCTAGATGAAAAAACAAAAAGCAAAACAAAAACAAAAGCAAAAACAAAATCTTGTATTGAAAATATACTATTTGATAATGGGCTTTTATGTTCGTTTGCCAAATGTAGAATCACAGAGTTTTTGTTGTATTTTTTTTAGTGTGGGAAGGAGGCAACTGGTTTGGGGAGGAAAAAGATGGAGTAAAACAGATGAAGAAGAATCAGTTTGCAAACATATGTTAATATTTAGATTCTTTTTTTAAAAAAGTGAAAACTTAACTAGTGAATGCTTTTCTACAAACTGTCTTTGATACTGTGTTTTGTTTATTCCATCCCAGAAGAAGTTAGCGGTATTCAGCAAGATGCAGGACTCTCTGGAAGTCACCCTTCCCAGCAAACAAGAGGAGGAGGATGAGGAGGAGGAGGAGGAGGAGAAAGACCAGCCTGCCGAGATGGAGTACCTTAACTCTCGCTGTGTCCTTTTCACTTATTTCCAGGGAGACATTGGGTCAGTAGTGGATGAACACTTCTCAAGAGCTTTGGGCCAAGCCATCACCCTCCATCCAGAATCTGCCATTTCAAAAAGCAAGATGGGGCTAACCCCCCTATGGCGAGGTAAGAATTCAAAAGCAGATGTTCTCCAGGGCACTGTCTTTGTTTCGCAACTGCCTGTACCAGGTTCCAGCTGGAGACTTGCCCCTGAGGATGGATATCCACTTGCTTTTTAATATTTAAGGACAGTGAGGAATTTCTTTCAGACAAACAGCTGGATCGGTTTTGTCACATGTGGAATGTAGGGTTGGAAAGGATGCAGTCACACCCCTTAAATTCCTCATGGAAAGTAGTGATACAACCGGCTTGAGTTTATAGTGGCTGCACTGAGCTGCGAAGTACCATTCCTAAAGCCCCAGTGGCCCAATTTGGATCTCTAAATAATAGGCGTGTCTAAATCAGCTTTTAAAAAATTAGCTCTTGCTCATTCCAATAGGTGCTATGTGGTGACATACCAGAGACCTGAGTCTGACCCAGGAATACAGACATTGAAAGCTGTCTGTGTTCTTTGAATAGGCTTCTTTATCCTGATTTGTTATTGTATTAACTCTTTATAGTATACACTCTAGGCATTTTGGCAGCATCCACATGGCTTAAACTAGTGTTTTTACCTTGATAAAGAAAGAGCAGCACATTGGACTCCTTTATTTCTCTCTGTATCGAGCTCACAGAGATGTGTTTGAAACTGATTTCTGACTCATAGAAAATTATTGGTGACATCTAAATCAGGGTAATTACAGGGTTAGATAAAAACATAATACGTCATTCCAATGACAGCTTCAGAGAAATTTGCTACAGTGGTGATTTCTTCCAAATTCACCTGGTTATAGGAATGATCTAGTAAAATGGTTCTCGAGGTGTGATTTTCCTGACCAGGAACATCAGTGCCACATGGGAGCTTGTTAGAAGTGCGAATTCTTGGGCTCCACCCCAGACCTGCAGAATCAGAAGCTCTGGGGTGGGGCAATCTGTGTTTTAACCAGCCCTCCCAGTGACTCCAGTGCAGAGTTTGATAATCATTGATCTAGTCCTGTTAAGGACAGTTTGCAGGACCCCCTTATCTCGAATCTATTGAACTAGAATCTTCATAGGAAGGTGTGGGAATCACACTTTAACAAGGGCTCTGGGTAATTCCTATCATGAGGAAAAGCTGGCTACCTGTGGGCAGGGCCAGGTGAGCAGTGAGCAGTGACTAGTGGTACCTTCTGGGCAGCACAGGAATGGTTCTGCTCTACTGTAGAAGTCCTGGCCACATGGAATTGCTGGGCCTGATCTTTTCTTACCTACTTGACCTTTCTTTTCTTCTCTCCCTCCCTCCCTTCTTACCCTCTCTCCTTCCTTCCCTCCCTGTTTGCCTCTTCTCCTCTCCTCTCCTTCTTTTTTTTCTTTGCTTCTTTACTTTTCTTTTTAGTAAATATAAACAACACTAAACAGTGACTATAAAGGGGAAGGTGGAATACAAATAAAATATCCAAGGCCTTGATGGAAATGAACTGAAAAACATACTAGTTATTTGATTAGTAAATAATATGGGCTTACTATGAGAACTGAGACTTAGTCCTTGGAAGCCTATGATGCTTATGTAATAGACTAATGTCCTATTTAACAGGACGTGATGAATAATTTTAATAATTTGTAGAGGAAGAAAATAGGAAAACATTAGTGAGTTAGATGGCTTTAATAAATAATTTGATATATCAATAATGAATCCTATTAAGATAATCAGTGCCAGGAGAGTAATAAATATAATGTCTACTTCTTTTAGCACATGGGCATATGCAACCTTGCTATCATTTAAACTGAAAAATCAGAATTAATGTCCCAAATTATTTCTTGGTGTGAGAGTGATTGTCTATAGAATCATATTCAAAATAATTTTTAGTGGGATGTTGTGAATGTGCAGAAACCCTACAACACATCAGCATTTTCTCTGTAATTTGCAAAACACATTACACAAGTTCCTTTAGCAGATGTTAAACTGTAGCATAGAAAGGGTTAATAAAGGCAATGTTTTCATAACTACTACTAAAGTTTTCTTGGAACTATCTTAAATTTGATCTTCAAATATGTCTCCTGTTTTATTCATTGACATATTCAGCAAACATTTATTAACCTCCTGCTATGTGTTAGGCAATGTGCTAAGTCCTGAGACAGCCCAAGGCTCTACCCTCATGGAGCTTTTAGGGTAGAAACAGGAAACAAACAATTGTTACAAAATATGTTATTTTACATAAGGTGATAACAAAAGCCCTGTGTGGCACAGTTATGTTTGAGCAGATAGCTGAAGGAAATAAGAATACTCATCATGTGGTTACCTAGGGGAAAGTAATTCTACACAGAAGGGACAGATAGTGCAAAGGCCCTGAAGATGGACTGAGCTTAGAATATTCAATGAGAAGCAAAGATGCTGGTGTGAGGTGAATGAAATGCAAAGTAATAGGTGGAGAACAGATGCTTTAGAACTTTTTTTTTTTGAGATGGAGTTTCGCTCTTGTCACCCAGGCTGGAGTGCAGTGGTGCGATCTCGGCTCACTGCAACCTCCGCCTCCCCAGTTCCAGCGATTCTCCTGCCTCAGCCTCCTGAGTAGCTGGGATTACAGGGACCCTCCACCATGCCCAGCTAATTTTTGTATTTTTTTGGTAGAGACGGGGTTTCACCATGTTGGCCAGGCTGGTCTTGAACTCCTGACCTCAGGTGATCTGCCCGCCTCGGCCTCCCAAAGTGCTCGGAGCCACACTTACAGATGTGAGCCACCGCGCCCCACTGTTTTAGAGCTTTTTACATCAGTTTATCAGCATATACCAGGAGCACACAGCATGCGCTTCAATTTTCATCTCCTATTATCCCACTAAGTCTACAAATACCATATCTTCTTATGGTGCCTCATTTTTTCTGATGCTCACAACAATGTGTTTCTATGTGGAAAATCTGAAATAGATATGCATTGAATGATTAAGTGACTGAATTAAATGAACCAATTTCATACCATGTATCCGGAATTAGAAAACAAGAGTCTTTAATAGAAAATTTCTTGGTAATAAGTTATATGAACTCTTTGGGTACAGTTTTTTTTAATTTATAAAATAAGGGGGTTAAATTAAATAATTGGTAAAAATATTTTCTTCTGTAAAGTTCTGTAATTTCAAAGGTATTATTTGCTTTTCTTAGATCTTTGTCATAATTGTCTTAAGTTGTGAATTAGACAGATTTAGATAAATATATAAAACTTGTGTAGGATTTATAGGAAAGCCACAAACGATAATTAAAAATATAGAAAATGTCTTAAAGAAGAGGTTCAATAAAATGAGACTCACATTTTTATTCTCATAAAATGAGAGAGTTGGTGACAATTTAATATTAATTGGCAAAGCTACACAGGATTGGAAAATACAGTCTTTGGAGTCCATTTGTTTTAGATTCATGTTCCAGCCTTTACCTTCTGGTTGCAATGTGATCTTGGATTACTAAATTGAAATCTCTTACATCAACTTCCTCAACTGTAATATGTGTTTATTGATACCCATCTCATAGAGTTATTGTAAAGATTTTTAAATAATGTATATGAATAATTTAGCATAGAGCTTGACTCAAGGTGCTAAATGAAAGCCAGATGCCTTTTCTCTCTTCCTTAAGTAAGTTTCCACTCATTTGACACATAGAAAACAAACCCTGAGCCTTTATCCAGGAACATTGTTTTCTGGAACTTTGTGTTTTTGGTACAAAACACACAGTCTTAGATAATAGTAGATACTAAAGGCTAATGATAATGTTAGTGGCCATGGCAATGATGCTTAGAAAGGAACTGCTGACCGAGTATTAAAGGGTCTAGTTTACAGCATAAAGTTATTACAGTGCCACAGAAGTGCTACCATGCTACAAACAAATTTAATAACTGAATCGTGTTTGACTAAGAATATATTTACACGGTAAATCTTTAGACAAAGAATAGTGTGTCAGCTAATAATGAAAGAATGGTTATACTTTGAATGTATATCTCCTTCATGAAGCTAGGTAAGTTTTTTTAGGTGTTTTTCAGCTGTAAGGCAAACAATGATAGGAAGTATATGTATTTTACTTGGCACAATGTCTTATCAGTTACCTCTAATCCTGCTATATATTCTAACAGGGTTGAAAGAATTTCATTTCTTTCCATTAAGAAAACCTAACTAGCTGGGCGTGGTGGCTCATGCCTGTAATCTCAGCACTTTGGGAGGCCGCGGCCGGGCAGTTCACCTGAGGTCAGGAGTTCGAGACCAGCCTAGGCAACATTGTGAAACCCCATCTCTACTAAAAACACAAAAAATTAGCCAGGCAAGGTGACAGCCACCTGTAATCTCAGCTACTTAGGAGACTGAGACAGGAGAATCGCTTGAACCCGGGAGGTGGAGGTTGCAGTGAGTCGAGATTATGCCATTGTACTCCAGCCTGTGTGACAGAGTGAGACTCTATCTAAAAAAAAAAAAAAATAACAAACCTAATGAATATGATTGGTCCCTTATCTCCATACAAATATATGTTTCTTGATACCCTTCTCCTAGAGTTATTATAAAGATTTTAAAAATAATCTATATGATTAATTTAGCACAGCGCTAAACATTGGTTTCAAATATGCCTATGCACTGATCTTTACAGAAATGAGTCTGTGTGTATCTGTAGAAAAGGGCAGGAGCTATGTCAAGCCATAGCAGAGTAAATCACTGACTTAAAACCATACAGAATGCTAATCTTACTGATATTGCAGTTGCAAAGAAAATCATCTGTTGGCTCATTGATGTACATAGGGTCTGCTTGGGCAATTCATTCTCATGGGAAAAAGCTCTCAAAATAAATACGAAACCTAAATAGTCAAATGGAGAAAGGAAAAGGAGGGCCTGTCTGATGAGCTGGCTGATACTGGAAATGAACAGAATGTCCATAGGACCAAGACATGGGGAAAAAAGTGAGGCGTGACTAATCTCACCCTGCTGCCTCCAAGGAGTATCGGCCTCTGACATCATCCCTTGAAACTCTCATTGTAGAGTCACAAGGCCCATTTTGAGCAACTCTAGAAGAAAGTAACTAGAAGGCAATCTTTGGACATAATGGTAATGCATAATTACTGAATGACAGAAAACACTGGAACACATGTCATTTCACTTCTGACCCAGCCATTTATTTTTATGGGAAGAACAACAAGAGAATGGCAATGAAATTACAGCAAGAACACTTTAGCTTAAGAATTGAGTAGAATTTTGTTTTTTAACTGATATTAATAAAAAATGTAAAAATGTTACCTTTTAGCATTTAATAATCATATTTTAATCAATATTGATTCTAATGTGTTTTCTGGAAATTTTTAAGATGACTTAGAGTTTCTATAACACTTCATTGTCCCATTTTCCTTTTAATTTAGTTTTTGTTATTTTCAAAATTAATAAGCTGTATCATTCTTTAAATTTTGAATCTTATCTTTCTTAAATTTTTTACTCGGAGATTTTAAAAAATTTTTTTGGAGGTAATGTGTGTGTGTGTGTGTTTTTTTTAAGAGACATTTACAATCAGTGTAAAAAGTATCCCACTATTGTGAAATTGAAAGAAATACCTGGTATACCATGTTGCAGTCTAAATCAGATAGTGAGATTACTGGGTTTGCTTTTAGTGGATTTTATTAGACAATGTATCAATATTATCATTTTCTTTT
Organism: Homo sapiens; assembly: GCF_000001405.40. Taxonomy (NCBI): domain Eukaryota; kingdom Metazoa; phylum Chordata; class Mammalia; order Primates; family Hominidae; genus Homo; species Homo sapiens. The sequence continues at coordinate 86,972,907 of NC_000003.12, read as the reverse complement.
TTGTCTAGAAATAAACTCGTGTGTATGTATGTGTGAGTAATATTTTTAACCCCAAATGAAAATTGAACCAAAATTACAGTTGGGCATTTTGTATGTGTTAGACTGTCAGTGTCAACATCATCCAAATATTGGTTAACATCACCTGTATACCAGGTAATATTGAATCCAAACTCACCATATAGTGTTAATAGCATAAAGTATTGTATTTTCTTCACTCACCTGAAATGTAATATTGCATAGAAATAGCCCATGCAGTTTTTCATATGTCTTCTTCATCCAACAAATGTGGCTGTGATTAAGTACTCATAAGCAAAGAATCATGTAATGAAAAAAATTTACATACATATGAAATAAGCACACTGGTTCTCAGGCATGAAACAAAGCATATCATCTCTTCCTTTGCATCAAGACTTTTTTTTCTTAAACAAGCAAGACACCGAATAGTGATTTTGAAGTATAAACTTCTTCATAAACATATTTTCAACTCAATATTGTTTCAATTGTAAATGTAACAGGTTTTTTTTAAAGGGCTGCATAGATCTTTGCAAACTTTATATTCATCTCAAGAGACATATTGACTGGGAAAATATTAAGTTCCTTTTAATTTTATTTTTCCCTGGAGCATTTTAAAACTTTGTTCAATCTTTATGGAGTGCATTTTCAAAAATAGATTTCTACTTTCAGTAATAATGTCTTCACTAATCATGGTACAGTACTTCATAAATAGACCAATAATATTTTTGATAAATAATTGATTCATTATTCCCATTTGCGCATGCATATTCAAACTGCATAAGCATCTATAAAATAAGATTGGCTCCATGTACATATAAATGAGACTAAAAGCATACAGAGAAATGGTATATACTCTCCGTACTTTTGACATCTTAATGGTGGATTTTAATAAGGGGAATTCTATATCTCTGGCACGTACTTGTGGTTGGGGCTCAACGGTTTTCATAATAGGATTCTAGCCCCTCGGGAGATGGAAGTTAGGAGCAGAATGAAGGCTTTGGTCCCAAAGATGGGAGTTGTGAGAGCAAAGTGGCAGATGTGTGGTAGCAAGGATGAACTATGTAGAATAAGGAGCCTCTCTAAACTCTCTGTATGGGTTTTAAGCTTTAAACATTGATGGCTTTCATTGTGGGTATGACAGAAATATTTTACAAATGACCATCACCTAAGGCAAATTGAATTTTCTTCTTACAACTTACACGACTTTCCTTCTTGTCATTAATAGTATTTTTCATATGTTGCAAAGAGACGATTGTTAATTCAAGAAAACATAGTTACCTCAATGTCAGTAAGGCTGATTATAGGTGGTATTTTTGGATAGATTGTGATTTTAACAAAGTCATTCAATTAAAAGTTTCCTGAGGTTGTTTGAAGACTTAAAGTGTGCAGTTCCATTCTTTGCCTTTTGAAGAACACCATTTCCTAGATTTCCCCAAGTGTTTTGAGATCGATGGAGATGTTGTGAGAGAGGGAATTGACTGTGAATAGCTGTGTGACCACAGGATGAATGGGATGAATGGTCATGATCATAGCTCTGGTGCCCAGCTGAAGGGGAGAGAATAGAAGAGCTTGCAGTGCTGCTGCCACAGCCTTTAGGGGAGAGGAAATGTTCACACACCACAGTAATGCCGAATTATGTTAACCAAATGATATATGTGGTGGTTGACTGAAGTTTTTTAAGCTTTCCCTGAGGCAAGAAAACTATGGCCTGATATTTATAGAGAGAACATAGATAATGTCAGAGTTTTGAATATTCTTATTTTAAAATACTTCTTAAGATATCCTCCATTCATACCCTTCATTCAATGGAAAGATCTAGCAAGGTTCTTTTATGTGGAACTCAGTATAAAAATACTCTCTTAAACTCACATGACTAACATCTTTAGAAAATGTCTTCTTCTGTAAATAAAAATAATCCATAGGGCACTTCACAGACTGTTAGCAGTATTAAGCCGTAGATAATTTGAATTAATGAGTTCAAATACTTCATTTTCTTAGTGAAAGAAAGTAAACCATGGAAAGATCAATGGGTCCATATTGGGTGATAAAATGAGATAGGGTAAGACCTAGGATCAGAGCTGGGCTCCTTGGTCTCCCAGCCCAGTGCTTGTTTAGTTATACAACACTGTAGGCAACAGGCTACAGGTGGAGGCACTGATCTTTCCACAAACGGATTTGACTGTGTCACTTACTAGATTAAAACCCTTCAAAGCCCATTGAGACCCTGCCACCTCAGAATAGAATTTACATTCAGTACCATGGCCAGCAAGTCTACACCCATCTTGGTCCTCATTTCAATAGTCTCAATTTTTCTGTTGCCACCTTCTGCCTATGGAACTCTTTTTGTCTTTCAAATGCTGCTGCTGTCATATGTGTGTGTGTGTGTGTGTGTGTGTGTGTGTGTGTGTGCGTGTGTGTAATATATGGCCTTTTCTTATGTGCTGATCCATTTGCCTAAAGCTTACTTCCCAGGGCTAGCCCCCACTCAGTCTGTCAGCTTCCACTTATCACTCTCTAAGCTGGGTCGGGGCTCTCTGTGCTTCCTGTTGGGAGAATACCTACCGTGTCACCTTGCACATGTCTGTTTTTACTTATCTATCCTTCTGCAGATTGTGACTAAAAATGATGTCCATTTGGTCATCCCTGACGCCTATGTTTGATACATAGTAGGTCGTGTATAAATGTGTTATTACGATTGAGTAGGAAATTGAACTGATGAAGAGTTAGGGGATCGTTTTCTTTCTTATTCGTCTCTAAGTGCTATTCTTTGATATTTCCCTCTCCCCAAAATACTTCCTCAAACCCATGACTTCTACTTGAATTTCCTCCACTCATCATTTCCATAGGATCTTCACCAAATTCGAGATGTTGAGGTTCACAGTTACAATTGCGCCCTCTTGTGGCACTTTATGAAGAGGCCCAGCCATTGGCCATTTAGGCCACCTGGCTTCAAAGCCTAGTCCCATTCTTGCCATCTTAAGCCTTAGGCTTCTTCTCTACTGGGATTTTCTCATCATGGGAATAATAACAATAACTACCCCATAGGCCTGGAATGAAACTCCTATGAGATTATCCATGAAAAGCCCCTGGAAAAATGTTGGGCATTTGATACTGTCATTAAATATTGACCATTTTTATTCTCGGTCTAGAGACTCCCAGATCTCCACAGAAAATAAATAAATAAATAAATAAATAAATAAATAAATAAATAAATAAAATGAGGTTGGAATACACTCTTCTTAATGGAAAATGAGTGTTAGTGAGTATAAGTAATTGTAATCTTACTTCCATTGTTACCTTCGGCATTAAAATGTTTCATTTAAATGAAAATTGTATTTGCATTTAGAAGTTGGTAAAAATGATCATGTCCAACTTATACAAACCTCATTTATGGCATAAGATTTCTTTACCAGTGAAGTGGGTAGATATGACCTCCTCTTAGGCCTAATGGCTGCAAGGTACTCAGAAGGAAATGAAATTTTTCAATCCCCAAATTGCAAACCTTAGCACAGACTGTGACGGCATAAGCCAAGCAAAGCAAATGGAGGGAGGCTCATTTAACACTTTGGATCTTGCACATGGACCCATTGGCTTGCGAGCCCAGAGGCCAACCTGGTATCAATTCACCCCTGTTTGGGGAGAATAAGAGTGCATGCTAATTTGACTGCTTGTAAAATATTATTGGACAATTAGAGTGGACAATTAGAGGCAAGTCTATCCCAAAACTGAGTCTTATGTTAATAATGTTTTTTATTTTCTGTCTTCTCAGACAGCTCAGCTCTCTCAAGCCAGCGGAATAGTTTCCCAACTTCCTTTTGGACCAGCTCTTACCAGCCCCCACCTGCACCTTGTTTGGGGGGAGTTCATCCTGACTTCCAGGTCACTGGACCCCCTGGCACCTTTTCTGCAGCTGATCCCAGTCCTTGGCCGGGACACAACCTGCATCAGACTGGCCCAGCCCCTCCCCCTGCTGTGTCTGAGTCCTGGCCTTATCCTTTGACATCTCAGGTGAGCCCATCCTACAGCCATATGCATGACGTGTACATGCGGCACCACCACCCTCATGCCCACATGCACCACCGCCACCGCCACCATCATCACCATCACCACCCTCCTGCTGGCTCTGCCCTGGATCCATCCTATGGGCCTCTGCTGATGCCTTCAGTGCATGCGGCCAGGATTCCTGCTCCCCAGTGTGACATCACAAAGACAGAACCAACTACAGTCACCTCTGCTACCTCAGCATGGGCTGGAGCCTTTCATGGAACAGTAGACATAGTGCCCAGCGTGGGATTCGATACAGGTAAGCTGCTGGATTTCTTTCTTCCTATAACAAGATAAAGTTAATTTAAGAAAGGGTGGAAATTTGTTTTGAAATTATTTTTTCTTATCTGTAAAGTTAAACTTTACCAACATGTTTATGGAACCTAGCCATTTTGCAATAATTTCTGCATTCCTGCAGAAACTGGTATGACTAGCTCATGAAATCCAGCCTGAGAAAGGTCTCAGAGCTTTTCTCTCATATCTTAGGTTAGTAGTCTGTTCCTTTGAAATGGAATCTCTGGTACCTTCTGTTTAAAAAGAAATGAGCCCATTATTTAAATCTCCCATGTCTCTGAGCATTATACCATGTGTCAGGCCTAACAGAATTCAGAAATGGTGCACTTCAGTAATTTTTCTTTCCTTTCTTTTTTTGTTAGGCCTTATGTATGACTTATAAAAACTGGTTTCTGAAATATAGTCTATAGTGTAGCCTTTTGAACAAGAATTAGGGAACATATTTTAAAAGAATGATTTTTTTCTTCATTTTCTTCCTCCTCTCCCCTCCTCTGCCCTCCGTTCCCTGACTTTATCCTCCTTTGCCTTTCCTTCTTTTCTCTTATTCCTCCTCCTTTGTTCCTCTCCTCTCTCCCTGTCTCTGATTTAAATAATACAAGACTTAAAAGACTACTATAAAATTTATATTCAACAGATTTAGAAACTAATAGTAAGGAAATGATTTCTTCACAGAGCATTCATCTCCTGTCTGGAATTCAATAGTTCTGAAGGTTCTGTGTCAAATGTCTGAGCTTGATTTTTGGACCAGACTGGTCATATTAATAGTATTCATAGTTCTGAGCTCATGAAATCATAGGCATCAGAGCCCAAAACGACAAATTGATCATTGTATCCCTGGAGTCCAAAGTAGTGGGTCCCAGGTTCTTTTGCTAGAACATTTTGTGGCACATTGGAACTCTCTTTCCAAAAGCTTAAAGAAATTCTTTCCTTCCTTAGCTTTTCTGTAGTGTGGAGAACCCTTAATCATGTGCTGGTTCACAACAAATAATTCCCCAGAGTCATAAATGCTCAGCTTTATTTTACCTCTCCCGTGACATGAGTGGAACGTTCTTATTTTGGTTAACTTTTCTCCACTGAGCTTTCCATTGTTGATCATTGCCCCATCTAACACATTTCAGCTTCCTATTGAGACTGGGTTCAAGCTGCTTTTCTAAACAAAGTATCAGGGGACTTGGTAATCCCTCTGCAGATGCGTGTGTGATGGCACAGCAGGCACAGGCTTCCCTTCTTTCTTTGCCACATACTAACAAAATAAAGACAACTTGGGAGTCATTTGATGCCTGAGGCCAGATCTTATTAGAGTTCCCAATTTGGCAGCTGCCTTCATGGACAGCAGGTCTCAGGAGGCTCTTCTCTGTTTTATGTGGTACTTATGTGGCAACAGCAACAATGCTCTTAGCAGGCAAAGGGCGTGTTCTTCCCTCTATGAATTCTACCAATAAGGGGGGAAATGGATGTGATTATTGCTCTTTCATTTTGAGAGCCTACTTTTGTACTTGTTCACTTTGGTGTGAGCTTGATTCACTCACTTGTTACAGAATTTCAGCTTGAAATAATCTCATCAAGATGAAAAGCCATTCTCACACCTTTTGGAAATAGACAAGAGGGTTTTTGTTCCCTGGAAATTCTTGAGAGGACCCAGTTGGATATCATTTATAATAACTCTTCATACTTACAGAGCTATGAATGAGCATTTATTACTCACAATATAAGGCATTACCTGGGGTACTATATATATATATATATATATATATATATATATATATATATATATATATATACACACACACACTATTACTTTAAGTTCTTAAACTAAATCTGAGATAGACCTTGTTAGTTTCATTTATGAATAAGAAACCTGAGGCTCAGAAAACTACTTGCTTAAATTACATTGTTATGTGTCCAAGCTGAAGTTTGAACTAAGACGTGTCCCTCTCTGAGAGATTGCTGGGATAACATCTCCTTGTATAAGTAAATCAGATAAAATTAGGTGAATTCAACTATTAAAATGGTTAATAGTGAAAGATGAAGGTTTTCCTATTGCATGTGTGGCATGCTGCCCTTTGTCAGCATGGGTTTAGGACAGTAATCAAGATTCGTTTCATAAATTTTGACCCAATTGAGAAAACAAAGGAATCATGAAAATAAAGATAAAATTATTAGCATAATCATTGATCAGGCAGAATTGGAGATTCTAGGTTAGACTTAATGCCACAGTTAGACCTCCTACTGCCTTCAGCTAAATTTAGATTCTGGAACATGCAGTTCTGGGGAAAATCTAGAGTTCAGAGAAGATTCCCGTAGACACCTTCCTTGTTATACAGCTTAGAGCTCCGTTACTGTGAAGAGACTGATGATTGCTCAGATTTGTCTCTGAAAAACGTAATCCAAGGCCTAAGCCTTGTGTGTGTCCCTACAAAAGGCACAAGCAGGAGGACAATGCACCATCATGCATCGAGGCTGGCCCGAAAAAGAGACAGTGGGAGGGGCTGAGCCATATGTGGTCATTTTATTCTGCTAAACTCAGATATAATGACAAATATTACATCTCTCTATCTTTGGGAGGAGTTAGAGAGGGGTGTTGTACGTCAATTTTTCTAGGAAACAGACTCTGAGACTCAGATTTGCTTGTAGACAATTTATGGGGTAATGTTCTCAGGGCAACATCTTTGGAGAATGAGAGATTTGGGCAGAAGTCTCACTGATGAAGTCAATAGAGGCCTGGATTCTACAAGGAGCTCTGGAGTGAGATGGTTCTTCATAACTGTTCTGCCTGGGGTCAAGGGGGTTGGGCTTTTACATTCCTGAATTGACCAGTTAGAAGTTGTGATCTGCCTCTGGTAAGGGGACATGATATTGGGCCAGGTGGGTTTGTTCAGCTGAAGGCAATTCCCAAAGAGAGAAGCAACTGAGAGTCAGGAATTGCCGGCAACAAGAGAATAAATGCCTCGGTCCTAAAGGGAGAGGGATCTGGTTGCACACCACACTGTCCTCTAAAGAGGGACAGCAAAGGGGTAGTAGCTACTGTACCACTTTTCCAACTCCTTTTAAATGAACAGAAGTTTCTGCATAGTAGGACCAAGCTAGGAAGGGGTAGCAGAGCAGTTGAGAACAGTGAAAGTTGGGTCCCTCTGTGTAACCTGTGCCACATTGGCCTGAACATACAGCCAGAAACGGTGACTCAGCTGAAAACTCAGCATCGATATTGGGTGACTACTGAGCAGCCAAGAGAAGAACCTTCATACAGTCATAAAACTTCTCAAAGTCCAGGTGACCGGGACCATTAAAATATAGGTCATTTTCACATCCATTAGAAGATAAATACATTAAACCAACTATTTTGAGAAGAAGTTGGTAAAAACATGAAATTTGCTTTCTTTCCTTTTTTTTTTTTTCTTTTGATGGAGTCTGGCTCTGTTGCCCAGGCTGGAGTGCAGTGGCGCAATTTCAGCTCACCGCAACCTTCACTTCCTGGGTTCAAGTGATTCTCCTGCCTCAGCCTCCCGAGTAGCTGGGACTACAGGTGCATGCCACTATGCCCGGCTAATTTTGTATTTTTAGTAGAGATGGGGTTTCACTATGTTGGCCAGGCTGGTCTCGAACTCCTGACCTCATCATCTGCCCACCTTGGCCTCCCAAAGTGCTGGGATTACAGGCGTGAGCCACTTGCGCCGGCCTAAAAACATGAAATTTTCATTAGTAGAGAAATGATGTCTTAGTGCTTTCAAGCTGTTATAATAAAATACCATACACTGTGTAGCTTATAAACAACAGAAATTTACTGTCATAGTTTTGAAGGCTGGGAAATCCAAGATCAAGGTTCTAAAAGATTTGATGTCTGGTAAGGGCCTGTTTTCTAGATGCCCATCTTTTCATTGTAACTTCATGTGGTGAAACGGGCAAAGTAATCTTCAGGATCTCTTTTATAAGGGCACTAATGCCATTCATGAGGCCTCCACCCTCATAACCTAATTACCTTCTAAGGCTCGCTTTCTTATACCATCACCTTGGGGGTTAGGATTTCAACATCTGAATTTATTTGGAGGGGAGTCATAAACATTCAATTCATTGCAAATAATTTAATAATTTTAGGTTCATTTTTTCACTGTATCTACTTGAAGAAATTAAGAAAACCTTGAAATCTAGAAGGTTGAACGTCATATAATGTGTAGTGACAAACGAAAGTTTTATAATATCATGTATGGCATAATCCAGGGGTTAGCAAAATTTTTCTGTAAAGAAACAGATAAAAATATTTTATGCTTTGCCATGCCATACAGGTCTCTGTTACCACTACCTAATTCTACTCTGCTCATGTGGTACAGAAACAGCTATAGACAAAACTTATATGAAGATAGTTGTGTTCCAATAAAACTTTATTGGTTGGTGCTGAAATTTGAGTTTTATATATTTCTCACGTGTCATCAAATGCTACTCTGCTTTTTTTCTTCTTTTCTTCCAACCACTGAAAAATTCACTCCTGCATTCTTAATTCATGGGTATACATAAACAGGTGATGCTGAATTTGGCCTGTGGGTAGTTGCTGACCCTCAGTATCATCCCTGTGTATAATTTTTATCTTCTACACACATTCATGCAGGTGGGTGCATGCACTCCCTCAATGAAAATTATCTTGAAGTGTATATCCCAACTTTTAATTGTAGTTACTCCTGGAGAGTTAGTGGACGGCATGAGCTTTGAAGCCAGACTGCCTGATTTTGTCAGCCCAGCTCTGCCACTTACAAAAGAAGCAGACTTTGGACCAATGACTTTACCCTCCTGCTACTTCAACTTCTTTATCTGTAAACAATGCCTAATAGGATTGTTTTGAGATTAAATTAGTTCATGCAGTAAAGCATTTACAAATATACCAGGCATATAACATGTACTCTGTAAATTCTAGCTATGTAAGAGAAGATGGACAGACTTACACTTTATTTAACTTCTAAAAATTTATTATTTAGATATATTTCACAATAGCATATGCTTCACCAGTTTAATAAGTATAACTGATTGGTCTTATAATATATTCACAATATTGTGCAACCTTCTAATTAGAGAACATTCCATCACTGTAACAAGAACTCCTATTCCTCTTAGGAATAACTCCCAATTTTCCCTATCCGCTATGCCTGGCAAATATTAGTCTACTTTCTACTTCTGTGGATTTTCTTATTTTGGAAATTTCATACAAATGGAATTATATGATATGTGGCTTTTTGTGTCTTTTTTCACTTTGTGTAATGTTTTCAAGTTTCATGCGTGTTGTAGCATCTATCATAAAGTCATTCTTTTTTGGGGCTAGGTACGATTTCATTGGGTGGATAATACCACATTTTGTTTATGCATTTGATGCATAAGCAAATGAATATGGACATTTGATTTGTTTCTACTTTTCGGCTAATAGGAATAATACTGTGATGAACACTCATGTGCAAGGTTTTGTTTTGTTTTGTTTTGAGACAGAGTTTCACTCTTATCTCCCAGGCTGGAGTGCAATGGCGAGATCTTGACTCACTGCAACCTCTGCCTCCCGAGTTCAACCAATTGTCCTGCCTCAGCCACCTGAGTAGCTGGAATTACAGGCATCTGCCACCACGCCCGGCTAATTTTTTGTATTTTTAGTAGATAGTCACTATTTTGAATAGTGAAGGCTGGCTTCCCTATTTTGAATAGTGAAGGCTGGCTTCCCTATTTTGAATAGTGAAGGCTGGCTTCCCTATTTTGGCCAGGCTGGTCTCAAACTCCTGACCTCGTGATCCACCTGCCTCGGACTCCCAAGGTGCTGGGATTACAGGTGTGAGCCACTGTGTCCAGCCCTCATGTACAAATTTTTAAGTAAATGTGTGTTTAATTCTCTTGGAAATATATCTAGGAGTAGAACTGTGGGGTTAAGAGAACCTCACTTTTTATTTTATGTATTTCTATATTTTTTGAATTTTTTTCAAAGAGCATATATATGCAATTTTTAAAATATTTAAATTTAAATTTTTGTTTTTTAAATTTTTTTTTAGTATTTAAATTGTTAAGATTCATTACAACATATTATAGTAGAGTTTGAGGTTTGGTAGGCAAAACTGCCATAGGAATGAAGTAAGGTGGTCCATTTTTTCCGAAGGGCTGAGTGGTGGTGAGGACAGTGAGGTGCCTCTGGCACAAAATTTAAAAGGATCCATACTGTGAGGGCTGTGCAAGTGTATGCCACCCCATATTTTGCACCCAGGGCTCCTTATTCCTCTAACCTCTGTCTTGGTGTTGCTTTGCTGTCATGCGAGCTCACTCTTACTTTTTGCTCCCTCTGTTGAACAGGTATTACATACAGGTACCTTGAAATGATCAGTATGGTATGATCATAAGTCATTTGTATTTGCCCTCCACGTGAAAAATGCTCATCTTTACCAAGAGGCTGTTATCACAAATCTCACATTAGGCTTTTTCCCTTTCCTTTATCAGTCTTTAAACTGAGTTTCATGGGTTCCATAGGAAAAATACTCAGAATGTGATAATAAGGGCTTAATTGAAAAAAGAAAAGATCTATTATCAAATGAATTTATTTACATTGCCTACCATATACCTCTTAGAGATCACAGTTCCCTATAGCATATAAAATGTTTTATATATTCTTCAGTAAAAAAGCATTTTAAATTGTGTTTAGCAGGAGATTGTTTCACTCTGCTTTTCTGATGAACACATTTTTTGAGGGTGTACTTATTAACTTCTCATTTAGCTTTGTCACTTCTGCATAATAGAAGCCATAGTTTTCAACTTTTGTGAATGACTTTCACCTTACATTAAGCTGCGTGTAACCTAGGTTAACAAGGGTAGTTGGGGCCAGAGATAACACCTAGAATAGTACAATGAATAAGGGAGGGTCACAGGATGTGGAGGACTGATTTCAGCTATCTCAGAGTATTATACTGGGCCCCTTTGTGTATAAGGAAGGAGAGAGTTAAATGTGGAAATATTTGTGATCGTGTACAACATATTACCAGGCATTCACGTGTGAATGCAAGAATATGTCTCCTCTTATCTTCCTCAGATTTTTTAGTGATAACATTAAGTAAATTCTGACATAGTAGTCCTCTTTTAGTGGTCATAATCATTCCGGGCATTTTAGTGAAATGTTGTCATTCTTACTTCCTGTTGTTGCCAATAATTTACCTAATGTAAGACATACAATCTTGTACATTCCAGCCAAGTTTAAATTAATTTTTCAAGTGAAGATTTGTTAATAAGGGCTTTTTACTGAAATTTAAACTTGACTTTCATAATTTCCACTTCATCCACTTTATTTAAATGTACCAAAAACAAAAGTAGTCATGCTTTGTGGTGTGACTTCTTTATAAACACAAGCTGCTCATGGCATGAGATTGTATTCATCTGTAGATCCACAGATTTATTTTTCTTGGGATCCCTCATGTTATTTTAGCTACAATTTTGTTATAAATATCTATTTTTACTTTGATGAATGTCACAACAATGCAATATACAGTATACATAAACAACTTAGAATTGAGGTATTCATATACTTTTTACTACAATATATTTAGGTAACCTAATATTAAACAAACAAAACAACATCATATGCATATATATATATATATATATATATATATATATATCACAATTACTTTTGCATAACCTAATATTTCGCAGGTCCATGAAATCTAGAGCTTAGAGGGAGTAAACATATGTTGATGTACCTTTTGCCTCTCAAAAAAACTAGGCATTAATTTGCGTAAGTAGCCACCTAATAGTGGATTTTATGAGTGAGTCATTATATGAGCTGGCCCCAAACTGTGATTATATCCAGATATTAAACACTATCTGGTTCATCTCTTACTTAGCAAGATACCTTTAGATACAAGTGAAATCAAGACTGTGTGTCACAGACGGGGACAATGGTTATTTGCCAGACAGAGGGAACAAAACTACAATAGCTACTAGTCCACAAATTACTTGCAAAGTACAGACTGAGAAGTTTGCCATAAGCACAGGAAGTTGTTTCTAGTATTCTCTCTGAACAGACTTTCATAGCAATAAACTTTACTCTCTAATCTGTGAATGAAGTTTATCTGTTAAGAAAACTGAAAAAAATTGTTTGAGGGTCTCCATTTTGATATTAGATAGGAAGAGCTGGGTACTACAGAGGAAGTCAGGAGTAGATAAATGTCCTAATCTATGCTTTTCTCTTCATGGACAGCTTGTGCCTGATGATATCATAAAAACAGAATCACATTAAGTGGTATTCCGAATTATTTATGGTTTAAGGCCAGTAAACTATATTTAAAAACAACATTCTGATTTAATCTGAATATTCTGTGAAAGGGACATTATTCACAAGTGACAAAAATTATATTTTAATGGGTTTAAGTTCTCAAAATTGTTATATACTATTCACTTTGGAACATACTAATTAAACTACCTTAGTGTTTAAGATTATGACGGTTGGCACTACAATGATGCTTTATAATGAAATCTATTAATTAAAAACATAAATATCTTGGTTTTGTTAGGTACAGGCAATACAAAAAACCGGGTGAGAATAGCGAATATACTAGAGAAGCAAATGGAGAGGCAGTTTCTCTCCATGAAAGAGAGATAGATCTATTTAATTCTTACTTTTCCATTCCACCTGTAAATTTGCCAAAACTTAACTCACATCTCAAGACCTATGATTTCTTTTAGGTGGTCTGGTGCTAACCCACCTGGGTAAAAATCACTAGTTGCAGGAAAGTTCTACAAATAACCTTGCTAAATAACACACTTTAAAAGTTAGTTACGATATGTTAATTTCATTGGGGTACTAATGTTATTAAAATTATGGAGCTTTATACCCAGTAACATCTACAATACCCAGTTACATTTACAAAAAGGACTAAAGGAAACCTAGATTTACAACTCAAGACCCTTGAATATTTACTAAATATAATAATGCTCCAATTCCAGGCTTTACAATGAAATGGAGATGAATCATTAGCCTCAATAATAAACAGAATAGTTTGATTTATGTTAAAATATTAAAGCACTGTGATATTTTTCACCCTAAAGATGAGAGGGCATCAAAATATCATATATTGTAGATGCTCAACTAAAAATAGTTTACTTCCTTCTACTTCACTTCTTCTCAGGGAGCATACATTAGCCATCTGAATTCTGAGGGCTATGGCATTAGGGATTCATTGAAGCCTTTCCTGACAATATTAGTAATCTGTATAAATGATTAGGAAGTTATGAAGATGTTTAAAAATGGTATTAAAAATATAATAGGCATAAAAGTTTACTTATAATCATTTGATCTCAGTATGTAGGCAGGTAAAATGACAGTTCTATATGGAAGCCAGCCCTAGGACTATATGATTTTTTTCCATCTCATTATTATGATTCAAGAAAGATTTATAGAATTTTGTGTACCTACCTTGAGGGCATTATCTCAGCTAGGATAGTTAGAACATCATAAAGCAATAGGTGCAGATTGTTTTTAAAAATACCAGGCAGAATGTTTATGAATAATGGAAATACTTTTTCTGGACTTTGTTGTCATTATTGAGTTTATGATGATTTGGTAACAATAAAAATTTTTCTAATCAACACCCGATTGCTTCACACTTTCTACAAAACTTTTTCTTTTTCTCTGGCATATGTCATAAGCCTATTTTCCACTGAGGAAAAAAACATCAGAGTTATGTTAAAATATTTACAAACTCTTGATTGGTGTTAGTTGTGTAGGGCACGTGTCCAGAATGACAATTTCATGACCAGAAGGGTAATGGAAACCATCTTTGAGATGCATGCAAAATGCCAGGAGATCCCAGCCTGTGAGATCTGCATGAAAAGTAACTGGATGATGAATAAGAGGGGAGAAATGCATTCCAGAGCATTGCTGTCAGTTTCAAGTATTCAAGCCTGGATGCTGCAGGACCTTAATGAAATTCCCCTGCTCTCTGAGATCCATGTAGCTATCATGCCCATGGGCTTCTGTGGGCTTTCCTCCATAAAATGGTGCCATAATGTCACAATGCCTAAAGTATGGGGATTTGCCTCAGATTCTTCTCCTACTTGGTGGAACAGGTGCAGGAGCTTTGTAAAGGTGTTATGTTTTAGGATGTGCTTGCATAATAATACAAATAGTTACGTGGTGTAAATTTGAATCATTGTAAAAGACGTCTTGGTAAGAGAAACTGCCATTTCTCATATATTGCTGGTAGAAAATTAGAGTTTTAGTATTTTAAAGAAGTAGACTGGAAAATGTAGTAACAGTAATAATTTTCATAAACTTTGGCTGAGCATTCTTACTCCTATGAGTCTACCTCCCATAAATAGAAGCAGCAGCATATGATATGTGTACAAAAATGTTTATTGTGACAATGTTTGCAGTAACAAAAAAAAAATGGAATTGAGCGATTACCATCAAGAGGTGGGATCTATGAGTGAATTGTGTTCCATATGGTATTGCTGACTGAAAAAGAAAAGCTCAAGAAAAGCACATATATGTCTTTTTTGGAAAATAATAACAAAAAAGTGTGCATATTTGTCTGTATCGTATGTGCACGTACATATCATTCAATGAAAGCAGAGAAGACTAGTTTGTCAAAATGTGTTTTCTTTTGGGGCTGCAGGTATTGAGGTCACTAATAGGAGTTTGAGGAGGAAAGAAGGAGAAGGACTTTAGAAGAAGAATATATATACATGTTTATTTATGTACATATTTGTATGTATGCATTGAAAGAGAGAGAGAGGCAGACAGGGAAAAAAAGAAAAGAGATATATTAATTTTATTAGTAATTTATTACCCCCTCCCAAATTCACTTAGGGGCTCATAAAAATCCTGGTCAATGTAGGCATCTTTAATATTTGCAGAGATGTAGAAATTCTGTCCAGATATATGTAGGGAAAAATGGGACTGAAACACAGATTCTGCATACATATCACCACTTATTAGCTGCATTACGTTGAGTAAGCCTGTAACCCCTCAGCTCCTCCTCTTCCTTAGATGCAAAATGGAGAGGACACTTCCTCCCCTGACACAGCTGGGAGAACCCAATGAGCTTGTGTTTTCTAGACGGTGATACATGATACAGAATGAAAACTCTCATGGTTCTGAATCTGAGATATGGTTCATTACGACAAAAAATTAATTCACATTGGAGGTTTGAGGCATCCTGAAGAATTGAGGTGCAAGCTGTGAATGCATCTGTCATTTTTATTTTGTCTGTGTCTGACTTAATTATTTCCTGTTCTTGAAGATTAGCTGTGATACTTGTTACAGTTAAGTTTCCTGATAGTAGTGTTTGCTGATATTGGCCGTGCAGTGAAAACTAGGTGCTTTTGTATTGATTGGGCAGACAATGGAAAAGAAGATAAAAATATTGCGGGGTTAACATCTTCAAGACATTTTTATACATTTGAACATTTTCCCTATCTAGAATACCCTGCCACGTGGAATGAGAGGGTACTAAAAATAAAAACCTATCCCATTATGCTTACGTATTGTTGAGATATTTATTCATCCCTGGCACTCATATAAAACAAAAAAAATTTTAAGTACAAAAAAGGAAGTTAGACTATGAATTAGGCTCAACAAAACTTCAATAATAAATGCTAATCCTTAAAAGTTGCAAATCTAATCAGTTTCTTTTAATCTTAGCATTAATTTTATGAAGGAGTTTTAAAGCTCCTTTGCCATATAAATTACTACGTAAATTGGAGAGCATCCCTCGTTATCTTAAGTATTTTCTTTCTTTTTTTTTTTTTTTTTTTTTGGGACGGTGGGACGGAGTCTCGCTCTGTCGCCCAGGCTGGAGTGCAGTGGCGCGATCTCGGCTCACTGCAAGCTCCGCTTCCCGGGTTCAGGCCATTCTCCTGCCTCAGCCTCCTGAGTAGCTGGGACTACAGGCGCCGCCAACATGCCCGGCTAATTTTTTGTATTTTTAGTAAAGACCGGGTTTCACCGTGCTAGCCAGGATGATCTCGATCTCCTGACCTCGTGATCCGCCCGCCTCGGCCTCCAAAAGTGCTGGGATTACAGGCGTGAGCCACTGCGCCAGGCCAAGTATTTTCTTAAAAACTGCAAGCAAGATTAGGCAATGCCATCATCTTTTGAGAGTTTTCTTAAAGGAGTTGTCATCAACTAGCTGCGGTTGGAAGGTGGAGACTTTTTCAAAGTAAAACTTGTCTTCCCAAAAGAAACTGATGTGCTCACTCACTATAGAAGGAAGCCATAACTCGCAGGTTGTCCTGATATGACTCTCAATAGAGAACGACACAAAGCATTGGAAAGCCTGTTTCAGTGGTCAGGTTCTTATCAGCAAATAATACTTTCAGCTTTGCTGTTTCTCATCTGTCATATAGGGGTGCATCTAAAGGAACAGCTCAAATGAAGAAATCTGTTTCAGAACTTGTTCCCTGACAATTTTATATCCGTTTTCGAACAGTCTGCAAAGATTATATAGAAAAATTCTATATGGCCTGAGGAATTTACAGATACTGTTTATTCCCTTTCAGGCTGCCTAACTATTCTTTTCTTGTTCTCTTTATCAGTAATATAAGGTTTCACAAACAGTTGTCTGCAGGCAACATGTTCTGAATTTCTTGGCAAAAAGGACTGATGAGAAGCAAAATATGCTAGGTATTTTTTATTTTTGGGTTACAGTCTGATATGCTGGGGACTTAATTCATAATTTTTTTAACACAAGTATGTGTTATAGTGTTTATTTTCATGCCTGGTCTACTTGAGCACTATTAGGTGATGCTTAGCATCTTCATAATCATTGAAGCCCTATTTATGTTTACTTGAATTGGACAGTCTCTTTTGGAAAATGTCAGAGAGCGAGCTTCTGTTCATGTCACATAAAAGTGAGATGAGGCCAGGCACGGTGGTTCACACCTGTAATCCCAACACTTTGGGAGGCCAAGGTGGGTGGATCACCTGAGGTCAGGAGTTTGAGACCAGCCTGGACAACATGGTGAAACTCCGTCTGTACTAAAAATACAAAAAATTAGCCAGGCGGGGTGGCACACACCTGTAATTCCAGCTACTGGGGAGGCTGAGGCATGAGAATCGCTTGAACCCAGGAGGCAGAGGTTGCAGTGAGCCGAGATGGTACCATTGCACTCCAGCCTCCAGCCTGGGTGACAGAGTGAGACTTCGTCTCAAAAAAAAAAAAAAAAAAAAGAGAGAGAGAGAGAGATGAAAAGTTTCTGATGTCAATGCAAGAATTGATATATATGCAACATATCTCATTCTAATGGAATGCTTTCCAATATATCTTGCATTAATAGAGAGATTGATTACTTATATCAAATAGGCATTAAAATGCAAGTATATTTCAGCAGTTTCTAAGCGTCTTTTGAAAATTTTGGAGTAGTAAATGTTATAAGTCATACTCCTAGGTATCATGTTTCCTATGTTGGTGTTATGTCCTTAATTACTTTTTTTTTGGGTAGGAAATGGATCCAGATTAGCTCTTTCTTTGATTGGATTATCTGTTTTCTGGACTGTAAAGCTGTCACTGCATAACCTAGAAACCTCTTTAAAGATGCATGTTTGGCTACATTTGTTATCCAACAGATGTCTGGATAGTTAGAATCTCTTGAGACTATTATAACTTGTGGTTTTGGTTACAATAAGTGATCCAAGCTTTTTTTTTTTTGGTTTTGCTCCTCTCCAGTTCTGGGAGAAAGCCTGTAGAAGAAATTACAAAGAGTATTCCATTTCATTTTCCCCACTCCCTTCTTCCTTTCCTTTATTCTTTGTCTCCGGCTTCAAAGTTTCTTTATATCTGCTTTTGAAATTGAAGTCACCGAATTGGTAAGCAGTGTCTAAATTCCATATCGTTCCATATAGTCCCCAGCTTCTATCACCCAAGAGGTTATTGGCCACCTTGACATTCAAATTTTGAGACTGGTAAATTGCCACTATGATAAAAAAAACTACCTAACTCTATGATTCATGTTTTTTATATATGTCCACAAGGTCAGTTTTTAAACAACTGGTTCAGATTTGTAACTTTATATCCTGATGCTTTAAGTACTTGCCAATTTACCCTCCAGCTATGCATTTTAATATGCACATGTCTGAGGAAGTGGATGTCGCTAAAGGCAAAGGCTAGAGATTCTGTGCACAGGAGAGTTTGTGGTTTTTGGAGGGAGGTGGGTACTGAGAGAGCAAACAGAATAAAGTGGCTTGCTGTCTGGGTCTGGGAAACACCAGCAAGTAGAAACACCTGGGTGGCTGAACTTTTCTCACCTGCAATGTTTCCCTCAGGTGAGCAGGTGCTGTACTTCTTAAAATAACATAGTGGATTATGGTTTTCTAGTAACATCAGCTTCAGTGGGTTTTACATTTCTGCCCTATTTTGAATCTGAGCTTAAAGACATTTTGACAAGTTCAGACAGTTTTTAACCTCATTGTTTCTGACAATACTACTACGTGGAGATTTTAAGTGAATTCTAAATGTGCCTGGAGAAAATACCTCTATAAACAGAAAACCTCCTTTGCCAGAAAATTATTATGCTGCCATGCTAGGTATCTTTTGTAATGATTTTAGTGTGCAAGAATTGTAATTATAAGAGAATAATTGCACTTAAAATATAATAAATTTAATCTTTGGTCTGGTTTAAGAAAATACACCTTATTTGTGATTACTTTAAAAAGAATTATTGTTCAAAATTTGCATATTAAATATGGAGAGAAGTCATCAAACTAGCAAAAGTATTTGTAATACATGGGAAGAAATGCTAGTATACCTAAAAGTATACTAAATGCTAGTATACAAAAAGCATTTAAAAATCAACTAGAAAATTACTTTTTAAAAAGCATAAACATGTGGCCAGAGTTAAAACACAGAGGAATAAATGCCATAATCGGACAATATCCAGCCTCACTAACAGTGAAAGAAACTAACATTGAAACAACTAGATACTTTTAATCTATAATATTGATCATAAATAGGAAAAATATATAAATATGGGTACAAACTTCCTAAACACATTTAGCCACCACAATTAAATATGTAAATGTAAATGTTCATATGCTTGGATTCAGCAATTATACACATGTATATTTTTCTAAGAAATGTAACTCGTAAATATTCACACAAGTAACAGCAACTTTGTACACCCGTGTGTGTGTGTGTGTGTGTCTATCTAAAAGATGTACATCTATAGAGAATTGGGTAATAGTATACTATAGAATAAATATTGTGCAGCCCTCCAAAAGGATGGGGTCGAGCTACACATACAGACCTGGAATGGTTTTCCAAGATAATACTGCTGATGAAATAGGCAAGTGGTATGTGTATATATGTAGATTGGGTACACTTAGCAAATTGTCTGATGATAGGTGATATTATGTAGGCTTTTTACTTTCTAAACACTATGTAACTTGATTTTTAAGCAAGAATTCCATGATGTTTTAAGAGTTTTAAAAATGTTTTAAAATGTAGCGCCTATATATTAATCTTGATATTCACCTGAAATGAAATCACAGTTCTCAGATTGAGTAGCCTTCTCTCTTACATTTTTCTCTTGCAAGTGTTAAGGTCCTACCCCTACACAGATCTTATTTAGAAATTCTTCACTAGTATTTAAAGTGATTGCCTCAGGGCTCAGACAAACAAATGCAATTGTATGATCATTAACAGTGATAATTTCATAAAGTAATAGAAAATAGTATGACTGTCTCTCGCACCTTTTTGTGATCATATGTCAATGTGTCAGTGTTAGCTGTCAATTTGCTGGTGAAGTTTGGATATTTTGATGTAGCATCTGACACAGTGTTGTATGTATTTAACTTTGTAATAAGTATTTCTTATCTTTATTAAAGGATGGATGAAAGGGGAGATCTATTTTTTAAATATAGAAATGTTACCAGGTTCTTATAGTCTAATAGTAAGCATTCTAATCCACATGGCTTCTTGACTTTTAATATGTATGAAATGAAAAGTTTACACTTACCCATACAAATGCTATCTTTACTTTTAGGTCTTCAAAGTTTCTACACACACTTTCAGGCTTTATGTTCCTATTTATGTTCTCTTTTTTTAATCAACAGCATGTTTCCCATTGTATGGTTACCTCTTTTATCTCCCGCAATAAAATTAATTGAAAGCATATTCAACTTACTTAAAAGAGCCATGATCAGTGGTGTTGTTAAATGACTATACTTTCTCAGAAGTAGAGCATGTTTATTTAGTGGGTTATGACTCTGACAAACAAACAGTACCTAAAACTCAGCTGTATATTAGTGTAACGTTTTTTGTTACCCAATGTTTATTTATTATTTCTATCTAATGGTAGAAGACTTACCCTCATCAATTATGTTTATTCTTAGTTCAATCCACTGGCAGCTCCGTTATTCTCAGTTTAAAACAAAATCCCATTTGAGTTGAAAGGTCTTCTCAGATTCTTTCCTCATTTTTTTCCTTGGGGTTGCCTCTGTTCCTAGAAAGTTATTCACGTCCAAGTTAAAAACTGTCCAGTTGATAAGTTGTTGTCTGCTTTTTGGTTCTGTCTTTTCATTCTTATCCTGGACTGCTGTTTCCAATATACCCTCCTCCTCTAATCTGTTTCTCCAGGCATTCTCTATACAATATTCTTTCTAATGTTCTTTCTAATAATGGCCTACTCAACATGGCCTATTTGAATTCAGTTCCCAGTGTTTGTGATCCCTGCAAGACGCTCATCTGGGGTGGCCCATGCTATTTCTTCTGCTGTGGGATACCCACATCACAGCTAATACTGACAGGACCCCAGAATTCTCACTGAACTGTCTCCTATATCAATTATGGGGAACATAGGCGAGCTTTAAGATTTTTTGGGGGGGATAAAACAGGGTTTGAGGTAAACTAAAGAGGGGGGAGTCTCTAGGCTGTTCATGCTCAGACCTACCATGTTGCCATTTCTATTTTCTTATTTCTATAGCATTTTACAAGAGGTAGATCTGTGAAGCTGCTGCCTCCCTGAATCTCAGTTAGAAAATGAGTCATAATGCCTTCTTATGTACAGTCAGTGCTATGATCTGAATCACTACATCTCTCCCAAATTCATATGTTGAAATCTTAGCCCCCAGGTACTGGTATTAGAAGGCTGGCCCTTTGGGAGGTGATTAGGTCATGAGGGCAGAGCTTTCATGAATGTAAATCAATGCCCTTATAAAAGAGATCTGAGAGAGATCTCAGGTGATCACACAGTAGAAGGCACTCTCTGTGAACCAGAAAACTTGATCTTAGATTTCCCAGCCTTCAGAACTCTGGTAAATAAGATTTGGTTATTGATAAGCTATCTAGTTTATGATATTTTGGTATAGCAGCCCAAACGAACTAAGACTGTTTAGAATCTTCAAGTTTTTAAGGAAAATCATATTCTCATCCTCTTCCTTGACCAAGACTTCTCACTTACCCATATGCAAAGGTTTTTTGTTGCTGTTGTTTTTCTGTTTTGTTGTTGTGGTGGGTGTCTTTTTTTTTATGTTTTTATTTCCTTTACTCTCATCCTGGCTCTGAATATTGTTTTTCCTTTTCTTTTGGTGGTCAGGCAGTAGTGGTGTTGGCATTGAAGTAAGGAAATGGGTCTAAGGACTCTCAGTTTCTTTCAGGCTTTTGTCCTAACTGAATTTCAAACTCAAACTCTGGAGTAAACAATTGAAATCTTTGTTTCTTCGTTCATTTCTGACAACCGCCTCAAGAGGCAATTGACCACCCTATGTTTTTAAAGTTCACACTGGAGAAGTCCGGCAGGGGGTGTGGTGGTTAATTTAAAGATACATATAGAGAGACACATCAGTTAAATATGACACATCCTATCATACCACTGAAGTGGTCTTCATCAAAAGTGTAACCTACTACTATGCCATCATTTATGTCATCTTGGGAAAAATGTGACAAATGGAGAATTTTTAAAAAATCCCTGAGGGCTGTTTTGTTAATCTTCATATCAGTTCTGTTAAATCAGGGTGTTTCTAAGCAGTGCAAAAAGGAGTATAATAATCTGTTAAGTTTTCCTTGAATTGATTTTGTGATAATTTTGACTTAGGCTACAGCCAGTATAACTCATATAATGTGAACACGTATATTGTGGTTAAGACCATTGACTCTGACATCAGACCACCTCTTTTAAAATCCTAGTTCTCTCAATGATTGCGTAAATTCTCTTAACTTAAATTTTTTCATTTGTAAAATAAGTATTATTTTAGCATGATTAGGAGCATGAAGTATGATGTTTCATATAAAGCACTTAGCACTGTGCTTAATATAATCATTAAGGCCCTAAGAAAATGTTAGGTCACTTCATTTTTATGATTTTTTTTCCTTTCTACTGAAAAATCTCACAGTCTGAACAACAGAACTAAAAGAAAATGGCTACTATAAAGAAGGCAAGCAGATGTGATTTCAGACAGCCAGTGGGGAAATCTCAGGATATGTTATGAATTAATTTCAAGTAGGTTTGATTTGGGTAAGTGAGGAAGCAGAAAAGTATGAATAGGAGCAGAACCTGTAGCAGAGTGGATTTTGTTCTGGCAAGAAAAGTCTTGGGAAATCCCAAATAAATGTAGACCACATAAGATTCATGGGTTAACAATTTTGCCCCCCTCCACCCTCACTGGGAAAAACTAAATGTACTTGTTGACTCTTAATTTTTCCAATCTACCATTACCAGTTGTCTTAATAAGAAAAAATTGTAGCCCTGCTTTTCTTTCTTTTCTTTTCTTTTCTTTTTTTTTTTTTTTTGAGATGGAGTCTCGCTCTGTCACCCAGGCTGGAGTGCAGTGGCATGATCTCGGCTCACTGTGAGCTCTGCCTCCCGGGTTCACGCCATTCTCCTGCCTCAGCCTCCCGAGTAGCTGGGACTACAGGGCGCCCGCCATCACGCCCGGCTAATTTTTTGTGTTTTTAGTGGAGACAGGGTTTCACCGTGTTAGCCAGGATGGTCTCGATCTCCTGACCTCGTGATCCGCCCGCCTCGGCTTCCCAAAGTGCTGAGATTACAGACATGAGCCACCGCGCCCAGCCAGCCCTGCTTTTCTTTTGCAACTTATTTGTAGGGTTTTTTGTTTGTAGTTGCTCATTTTCTTGTGCTTTACATATGCCTATTTTGAGATTTACAAATATGAATGCCTGGTAATTAAAGCAAAATTTTTTATGTTCCATCACCAAGAAGAAGTTTAACCACAAGGGTCCATTAGATATCTGATACATTTTAGGCCACAGAGGAATTGACTTTTTAAGATTCGCATTGTAGAAATGCAGAGACATGGAAACAAGAAATTGAATATATGAATTTATAACGAGAGAATGACTTCTGTTATTCTGATTGGAAAATCTGGGGCGATCTTAAGTAATGAAATACTTGTCTGCAGCAAAAGTCTCACGTGATTTTGAAATAGTCATATGTCTTTGCAAAGCAAATAAGAAATTGCCTTTGTTTAAAAGCAAGAATAAGACAGGCAAACCACTTGATGATTACAACAGTATTCATGACTTGCAGTGCTGACATTCTGTAGATTGATGCAGTCTTCAAGTGTGGAAATCCTGAGTCATACAGAGGATGAGATGTTTTAATAATTAAAAAAATATTTATATAGTCAGCAGATTGTCAGTAAAGGTGGTTTAGATTACAAGAGTTACCCAACAGAGACTATGTCAGGTTGCAAATTATTCTAACCAGAAAACCATTTGAAAATGAATAAAGCAAACTTAGAGTGGATTGACATACCCCAGATCCTTTTATTTTTTTTCTCCCTCTCATTGTCCTCTTTTATCCTTCTCCTCCTCTTCTTTCGAAATGGGAAAGGAAAACTATTGCTTCTTTATCAAGCATAAAACCAGTATGCTTGTGGTAAAAAGAAAAAGGTGGAGCCAATCTTTTGGCATTCAGGAAGTGTTGTTTGTTCCCAGTACACAAATGCTACACAGTACAGAGATTGCGACTTGTAATTTTATGAGATGCTGCTTTTTTAAAATTAATTAATTTATTATTATTATACTTAAAGTTTTAGGGTACATGTGCACAATGTGCAGGTTAGTTACATATGTATATCTCCTTCTATTTGTTCTTTTGCCCTTTGTGTAGTCCGTTTTGTAGATTGCCTTAATGTCTCCAAACACTAATTGTGTCCTATTTTGTAATGAAATCCATATTTTACAAAATTCTGTGACTAGTTGAGGGATAAGAAATGTTGTTTAATAATAGAAAAACTTTGAACCAAATTGGCTCATTTAGCTATTAAATTTCTGACATCCATCCTGGGTTTACAACAGTTTCAGATCAAAGGTCAAGCAGACAACTTGAGATCCTTGCACCCACACAACAGCAACTTTGCTGCATTTCTACACACATGTTTAAAGAGTTTTGCTTCATGTTTTGTTATTTAGTTTTAAACAACATAGAAGCACCTATTATTCTGTGTTTTTACTCTTCCAAACAATTATACTTCAGGTACAAAAACAAAGAGAACTAAAACAGGTGACAGATGTATTAACTAACTTTATTTAGGTAATCATTTCACAATATATAAGTTCATCAAAGTATCTCGTTATACACCTTAAATATATACAATTTTAATTTTCGATTATATTTCAATGAAGCTGGAAAGAAAAAAAAAACAAAATAAAAGTAACTTCGAGTACGTGCAAATTGAAGGTGCTATGTGAATTGCCCATATCAGAAATTATTCAATTAACTGTATTAGACACAGATAAAAGTCACATTTCCCGTTTTCTGTTTGATAAACTTCTTACTGATTTTAGCTTTGAGTTTGAATTAATCTATGTCCTATTAATCAATGTATACCTTCCTTTTGTCACTATTATTAACTTCTAAATTTTAATTTTTGCTGTTATGATTTTTTAAATCCACTTTAAATACTTTTTGGAGGAAGATAAGATAAAATAAGTAAATTAATAAATAGAATATAGGTCTGGACTGTTAGTTATGAACCAACTGTGTTTATTTTACTGACTATAGTAGACTCAGTTTTTAGCCATCTAATTGCTCACATAGTTTATAGTAATCCCATTGTGGAGTACATTTCAAAATAACAACAGAATTTATTTATCACATTAGTCTAAAAGAATAATTTTGATTGTTACTGAAAGTATTAATTGAAGCACTGCATAAATGCTCCAAAGATTATTTATGTCTTTTTTCTCCCAATATCATCTCCTTTTGAAATTACAAATGTTTCGTTTTTGCTATTTACTATTCACTCATACTCCAAGCAAATAAAAAATATAGCAAATAATTTGTATTGTATAAATAGCACTGTCCTAGTCTTGTGTTTTTGTCACATACTGTGTTAGTTGATTTTTTGAAAATTGTGAGCTCCAGCACAGAATTTGCTTAGAGATCATGATGTCTTCAGGTCAGAACTCACAGTTGCCTGGATTATCATTTTGGTTTCTATATCCAATGTATTGCAGATTATGCTTATTTTTGGTACCATATGTATTAATGTTCTTTATTTTTTCCCCATTGTCATTTGTTCCAGGTCTACAGCATCAAGACAAGAGTAAGGAATCACCGTGGTACTGAAACACACAATCTTAGTGAGTTAAGTTGCAGCATAAATCCAAGGGCCCACTGGGAAAAGATACTGTCGGGTTTTTCCATTCAGCAATAGGACACGAAAGGCATAGAAGGAGAAGACAAAGTGTCACGCAGTTGACTGGTTTTCGGCCTTTCTTGAGAAAGCAAAGTGGGTCCCAGACATTGAAGAAAAGCATTTTTATTTGTTTATTTCCTCATCTGAGCCTTTGCCAACTGTGCAACTCTCTCCTTTTGTTATCTTGCTTTTATCAATATATAGCTAAGTTTTTGTTTCATTTTGATTTTTTTTTTTAGCCAACCACCTTGTCAGGAAAGGATGAACCACACATTAAAATGTTCATTCTTTCAGGAATACAAGTTTGTAGCTCTATGTGCATCTATTTTTGTAGAAATACAAAAAGTTTGGTTTAGCATTGATGGGCTATTTTTGAGGGATGTATTTTTTTTAAAATTGTAAAAATTGTTGAGTTCTGTTTAAAGAACTTGCTCTCAGAGAAGCACTGGCAAAAATGTTTAAAATGCTTATCTCTAAGATGTCTATTATATGCTCTGTCTGTGCTTTCTAGGTTACCTCAAATGTTTTGTTTTTTTCCTTCTTACAAAAGTAGCTATACCGTAGTCAAACCAATGCAGTATTGTTTTTACATTGAATCTCAGTAAAGATTTAATTCCATGCTAGCTCAATTAGTTTTGAATTATATGTATAGCTTGAAAAGTTTTTTTTTAATGACTGTGCTAAAGAAATGATATTTTATTGCTTTGATTTCTCCCAAAGAATAACTTGGAGGTTGACTAATAAGAAAGTTGGCATAAACTTTCAATCAAATGAAGAGTTTGCCTAGAGGAGACTAATTCTCTTTCTAGCCCATCCAAATTTGATAAATGGAACCAGAGGTTATATACAACTACAAGGAAAAAAATGCATTTAACCATGCCACCTATGAGTGCCAGTGACTTATTTTACTTGTTTTTAATTATTCATTCATGGCAATTTAAAAAGTCATATTTTAAGTGGGATTTGTTTTTCCTGAAGGGCATTTGAAGGAACAATATCTGGGAAGGTACTAGAGAAATTACAAAGCCCGAGCTCTTTCTTATAATGCCACCTATCCCTGTAAGCTAAACAAACAAACAAACAAACAAACAAACAGTTCTATATATAATAGTTTCAACACAGAACTTAACAAGTCTCTTTTTTTGTTTGTTTAAATCTGGCTTTACTTGATTTAATTCCTTTTTAGAAAGAAATTTAGGGCAAAATAAAGTGTATATTAGGATTTAAATTTATGCCACAATTTAAAAATAAAACCAGAGGTTATATACAATTTAAATTGGGCTAAAAATTAAAAATTTGAGGATTTAACTTGATATAGCTCTCAGGATCTAAATAAAGTTTAAATTATCATTAAGACACTGCTAGGAGAAGATTAAGATTATGAAAGTAACAGTTATTGATACTGCTGGACTTCAAAGGCAAAGTTCATTTCTTCCATTAACTGCTTCCAGAGATGTCATGTAAAAAAGTTAGTGTATTAGAGAAGTTTTTTAGCTTTATAAAGAGGTTTTTTCAAATTTCTCCCATTTTTCTCTCCACCCACATAAAATAGTATGTTCAGTGAAATGCCACTTTCTATCTTTAATTGTTCGTATCATATATGCGAACTTTTTAGACATGAACATGACATGTTCAGCTAGGCAGAGTTCTCATAGATAATTTTCAAATATTTTCCTTGGCTGTAATTTATGTATTCATTTATATCCTATCCGTCTTTTGAGCTTCAGATCTATATACTCTTTTGTACTCTCATCACTCCGCACTTTGCTGTTTCTTACCTAGACTCTCTTTTACACAATATGCACATTTTTACCATTGTGGGGTCCAAATTTAAGATACCTTCCACTCACTAATAATATGAACTTATATTTCCTGGGAGTAGCCAGGTTAAATTTTCTATACTTTGGTCCATAATTTGATTTGATATGATTGTTTCATTTATAATTTGCCCAAATACATGGAGCACAAAATTTAGTGAATTTATAAATCTGGATTTGCCTTGTGTCCTTCTGAGTTTTCAAAGGCAAGTATTCAACAGTCCCTGTGTGATGACTGACAGGGTTATTTGCCTCATCCACATCCACCTTCGGAATACATTAACTTCCTTTGTAATTTATTTGAAAGTAGTGTTAAACTCATTCAGATCATTCAGTTGGATTTTCCCAATGAAGAGGAAAAGGAAAGTAGTTATTCCTAGCTCCATTTCTTATTTTCCACCAAATTTAATTGAAGGGCATTAATTAGATGTCTTCACCCTGAATTTAGACTTTGCTCTGTGTTCTCCCGGTAACTGTCAGACAAAAAGTTTATTGGCTCTGAGGAACTGAGAAATGTTGGGAACCTGGTTTCTGCTGTACACAGGAAAGATTTGTAAGTGAGCTCTCTCTTTGAAAACAGGACCCAGGCTGGGCACAGCAGCTCATGCCTGTAATCCTAGTATTATAGGAGGCAGAGGCTCGGGAGGATTGCTTGAGCCCAGGAGTTCAAGATCAGCCTAGGCAACATAGGGAGACCCTATCCCTACAAAAAATTTCTGAAAAATTACCTGGGCATTGTGGGGCACACCTGTTGTCCCAGCTACTCTGGAGGCTGAGTCCGGAGGAACGTTTGAGCCTGGGAGTTTGAGTTTGCAGCTTGCAGTGAGCTGTGATTGCACCACTGTACTCCAGCTTGGGCAACAGAGCAAGATCCTGTCTCAAAAGGAAAAAGAAAACAGGACCTAGGTGTTTGGGGTACACTGCCACCCAGGGAGTGGATCAAAAATATACATAGAAAGAGAATGAGCATGTCTCTATAATTGTCTTCTAGGACCATATTGCTGTTAGAAGTCCTAAAAGAGGATGGGTTGTAATTTAGCATAATATTCTGAATTCATTCCAAGTTTAAAATCCTGTCATTCTCTGGCTCTTCTTTTTTCACATCAAAATGATGCTGTTGGACTTAGAGGCTTCCGAACTGTTTTATTGAGGGCTACTATCTGCCTCCACAATTTTATTAAAACCACTCCACCTTTAGACAAAGGTGACTTTTGTCTGATTTTACAAATCAGATTTTATTCAAGCTTTCTAAATATCTGTGAAGTAGACCCTAGAAAATTGTCTCGTTTATTTTAAATAGAATCTATGCTTCCACCAATAAACCATCGGGAGCTAAGAAACAACATAATGTTGACAAATCAGGAACCTAACAGATTATTTTGTCTCTCATTATTAATTTGAAAGAGCCTCTAAACTTTTGAGAAATCAATGTGTCTTCTTAAGAAAGTTAAGCACCCTCTCTTAACTTTCCCCTCTATTTGCTCTCCTTTTTCTTTCTTCTTAAGAGTATTTATATTATTTTGTTAAGCAAAAATGGCTAAGATTGCTCTAAAATTTGCAAAATGAGGAGTGGATTGCAAATAATTGAGGGATTTATTTCTTTAACTTTATAAGACTTTAAAAAAAAAACCCAAATTCTAAGCACTGACATGAAAGTTGCCTTTGAGAAGCTTGTTATTCATTATACAAAAAGTATTTGCCCATTCCTATTCTAAGATTTGCAGAATATGTCACCCTATCTAGCTTTTGAGTTTGCTATCTGGTTTAATGTTGTATTTATAATTTAAAGTGGAAATCAGAAACTGTTTCAAGAACCTGTATTCTATTCCTTACTGAGTGTCCCTTCTTTAAATAGTGTTTGCTGAATTAAGCCGATGGGGGCAGTGGCGTTAAGTGGTGGAAAAAGGAAAGTATATATGTTAGAGTTTTGAATGAGGGATAAATAGAAAGCAGAATGAATTAATGGAAAAGAACTCGGCTGTTAGGCCATTCTCTAAATTCTAGTTTAGCCAAAAGTTTATGTGTGGTTTGGGGCTTCATTTATTTATCTCATGAGTAAAATGGAATAATACCTAACAGGCAGGCTCTGGAAGTTGGAAATCACATACACACACACACACACACAGACACACACACACACGATCAATCATGTAGCTCATATTAGATGTTCAATAAATAACAGCTACTACAGATGCCTATCAGTTGAGTAAGTAGTTCATTAAATTGAGCTCCCAAAGGTCTCTTCTCTTCACATCCATATCCGTTTCTGCAGCAATCAAATAGATACATGATTGTTTTTCTGTAAGAAATTACTGCAAAGAGAATCTTTTTCTCCTACTAACTGTTCCTTCTACCTGGTATAGGAGATAAATGTACGTTTCTTAATTAGCTGACTTTTTAGTATGTCATTTCTGAAGGAAAAATAAATTAACCTTAAAGTGGCATGTAGGTCCAATTCAGTTTTCCTACATGTTCCAAAATTTTATTTAAATTACTGTGTCCAAAATTATGAGGACAGTGTCATTCATTCACCATAGTTTATATTTTTAGTTATATATCAAACTTCCTTGGCACCTAGGATAAGAACATTTCTTTTGAAGTTATCCAATTTTTTTTTATTTTTACTTGACTTGAAGGAAAGTTGGAAAATATGGTGGAAAAAATCTTCCGCATTAAAAGGGGGAAAAACACAACCATTTACGATCTCAGTCAGCAGATTTACTCTACTCAAGGAAAAAAAGAAACAATCTTATTGGAAGCAGATGTTGACACTGTGTCAGTTATTGAAGACGGAAGGAGTTCACTTGAGCCATTGCAGTTACAAAGGGGTATTGATGGCAGTTTGGATTCCTGATTGATCACCTTTGCAGCCAAGGGAAAGACAGCAGAAACTGTATGGGATCAGAAATGAAATCAGCCTGCCAGTTTAATGGAGAGGCTCCTAGAAACTCATTTTTTTTCTTTCCTGTAAGATAAAAGACATCTTTCAGAATAAGAAAGGCTTGTTTGAGAGAGAAATTACAGTTTATTCTCTGAAAATATTTAAAGGCCAAAGTGCCCTTTAAATCTATTATTAAAGCATTGAAACTGTTATTAAAATCATTATAGAAAAATTAGGTAAAAATTTTAGCCTAACTTTCAACATCCATTCAAAAACGAATGTTGAAAACAAACATATAACCTATAAAAAAGTGAATGGCTCTGGCAAGTGGGGGCATGGGTGGAGTCCATAAGGAAACCTCAGTCTCAATAACTTCAAAATGTTACTTTTCATGGTAACTTGGTCATGGAGATTGGTCACAGCACAGACATTTAGAATTTTTTAGCAGGTTTTTTTTTTCTTTTGAATCTTGTAGTGCTCTCTGGGAATTGCAC
The DNA here is from genome assembly GCF_000001405.40 of Homo sapiens. Classification (NCBI taxonomy): domain Eukaryota; kingdom Metazoa; phylum Chordata; class Mammalia; order Primates; family Hominidae; genus Homo; species Homo sapiens. The sequence continues at coordinate 86,941,761 of NC_000003.12, read as the reverse complement.
CATGTACACTTTTACAACCTACAGAAATCGTCATTATTGTTAAAGTATCTCAACTTTTCTATTTCTTTTATTGTCTATTGTGCTTTTTTGTTTAAAAATACTTTTATAGTTTTAAAGTATTGGTCAAAGTAGTATTCTCTTGAAGTTCTAGTCAATTTAATTTGATCCAATAAGTTTTTCTGAATCTCCTTTTTAAGTTCCAAGAAATTCTATTATAAATAAGTGTACTTTTACCAATTCCATTGTATAAGCAAACAGACACCTTTTAGAAAAGGATAAGTAATCATCAATTTGTTTTTTTAAAAAAAAAAACAATTTCTAGACTACTAAATTTGGCATAAGAATAATTCTTTTAAAATGCAACATACTTTAATTAGTTTTTTTGGTATATGCATAAGATGTGAACTTTCCTATTGATATCACTTTATATTAATAGAGATGTACATTTCTTTCTATGCCGTGGCTAGAGCAAAAGTTAATAATGATTATTTACACAATTGATTTAATTTCTTAGGATATGTATAATATTGGATATTATATCTGATTTAAAAATACTATTCCATACATTTTTTTTTTCAGGAGATAAAACATAGGGAAAGGTTTTCATGTGAATTCTTTGTATCACTTTGAAGTACATATATTTAAAGGGAAGATGGATACAATTTGTTTTTATTATATAAATCTAGGTAAGGTGAAATGCTTTTGTCAACAAAAATACAGTGTAGTGAATTTTATATTTGTCACTTGATTAGGTAAACTGAAAACTAACAATAGAAATATTATTTTACTGCATTGAAATACCATGAACTTTCAGACTTGTTAGTTCTACAAGAAGTTGTGCTACCTTAATTTTGTGTTTCCAGAAATAAAAATTAACCTTAGTTATGCTGTCATTTTTAACTAATAAAAAAAGTATAATTCATAAAACTTTTGGCTTTATAAGATAATTATAAAATTATATATTTTTTTCTGTTTTTGTGGGGTTGGGAAAACATTTTCTTATTTCTATTCACTCTTCAAATGCAGGTCTCATAATATGTGTCAATGATATAAGATGATGGAAGACTTTGTAATAAAAACATATGTCATTATCTTCAATTTGTTCAATAAATAATTTAATGTGAATTGAATGTTTGTATTTTAACATAGCATTTGGATTTGGTCTGCATTTCTTGAGAATTTAAAGCTCTTTTTGTTTCCTCCTTATTCAATTAAGCATCTTATAAATATTTTGGAAATTACAACATCTTAGGTGTTATTAATTAAGAAGTTAATTTCTAGGGCCAAGAAGTCTATATGTTACAGCAAGGAATAGATTATAAAATACATGTTTATAATGGAAAAGAAAATGAAATGGGGTATATTAATTACATAACAGCAAGAGTCTTGAGAATTTTATAATACAATGCTTCTAAGGATATTGGTTGACCAAGGTGTATTTTATTGTTTTTACATTTGTTGACAGGGACTCTGCCATAAGTAGTATGAAAAAACAAACAAAAACTTTTCTACGATTCATTAACATTGAAAAGAGAATTCCAAGACCTTGTATTCTGAAGAAAGCTAGAGTTTCTCTAAGTGGGCCTTCAATTTTCTTATTACACGTATCTTTAATGTGAAAGTACTAAAGTCTGAAAATCAGCATTTAAATAATAGACTTTCCAGCATTACAGATGAAATAATTTGGCGCAGGCTTTTTAACTGTCTACCATATTTAGAATGTGGTGTCAAAATGAGATTTTTAGAACTGCTGTAAAATATTACTACATTACTACAACGATAACGGCCTAAAACAACACAAATTTATTATCTTACAGCTCTGTCAGTCAGACATTCAGCAAAGATCTTAGTCTTGGTGGGCTACAGAATGTAGGAGGCATTTCCTGGATGCTTCCAAGAGAGAATCTTGCTGTTCCCTGCTTCTAGAGTCCTTTGCTTAGTTTCCTTCCATCTTCAAATCCAGCAACCTGGTCAAGACCTTCTCACATGACATCACTGACTTCCTCTTCTTCCTCTCCCTTACATATTTAAGGACTCATGTGATTACAATAGCTGCATCTGTGTAATCCAGAATAATCTCTTCATCTCAAGGTTTTTGTTCTGTTTTGTTTTTTTGTTTTGTTTTGTTTTGTTTTGTTTTGATGGAGTCTTGCTCTGTCGTCAGGCTGGAGTGCAGTGGCGCGATCTCGGCTCACTCCAACCTCCACCTCCCGGGTTCAAAGGATTCCCCTGCCTCAGCCTCTCGAGTAGCTGGGACTACAGATGCGTGCTACCACACAAGGCTAATATTTTGTATTTTAGTAGAGACGGGATTTCACCATGTTGGCCAGGATGGTCTCCGTCTCCTGACCTCGTGATCTGCCTGCCTTGGCCTCCCAAAGTGTTGGGATTACAGGCATAAGCCATTGCGCCATGCTCAAGGTTCTTAATTACATCTTTAAAGGCCCTTTTTCCATGTACAGTAACATATTCAATGGTTCTGGGGATTAGGACTTGGAGCCATTATTCTACCTACAACAATTAGTATTGGACTTCCATCATTTTCTATCACTCTTGTAATCGAGAAGGACTATTTCACTGGGAGTAGCAAGTCATAATGTTTGCGTTGGCATTTGTGTGGGGGTTTATCTTCATTCATTAAATAATTGCATGTAAAGAAAATTCCTGTCACTATTTCAAATGTTTCATGTAGTTATTATAGTGCTTCAGAATCCAAAGGGTTATGTGTTACTTATGTAAGATGAGCAGTCTAGGGGGTGGAGAACAGGTCATCTAGTGCAGATTCTTCCTAGCTGAAGTGTGTTTTCTCTGGGGACAACCAAGTAGGATTTAATTGTTTTGCTTCCTTTTTTGGGAACTTAGACCCATCTTGCGATGTCCTAAGTCTCCAAGCATCTTATTTGACCTGCTTATACACATTTGACTAAATAGCTAAATATGACCACATTGACGTGGTAAAGCTTTAACACTTTTGTCCAGATTGAATCACTCCATCTGCTATCAGTTAAGCAGTGGAAAACTGTTATGGAAAAGCAAACATGTTTTGATAGATTTAATGTGTAAAGAAGGTATCCATACTCTGGAATGCTGCTGATCAATAAATGAGCTGCAAGACTTTGTTCGAAACAACACTCAAGCACAACTGTTTTACTTTCCATACCAAGTTTGGCTGTGACTGAATGAAGAACATCAGCATTGATCTTTGCTTTGCACTTGTACAAGAGACTATTTGCAGAGAGCCAAATATAGCAACAGAGGATTTAATATCTTGCCAAAAAATACAAAATCTGTTCCCCTTTAAGCATGACACTCTATCCTTTCTTGTGGATCTTGCTAAAAGGAAAATATAGCTTTAAACTCCCCTATTCCTTCTGTTGAAAGCTTAAGAATCTTTTTCAAATGAGCTATGTATGGTTTTGTGGTATTTTATGTTTCCAAAAGAAAATGGCTACATGAAAAATCTGTCCAGTGTTATCATTTTTCTTACAAAAAATACTTCTAGTTATGGTTGTATTAATTAATTTGATTGTGATAATGATTACACAATGTTTACCTATATCAAATCATCATATCGTATACCTTAAATATATATAACTTTTATGTGTCAATTATAACTCAGTAAGTCTGGGAAAATATCGTTAAGTCAAAGATTAGAGTCAACAGAAATAAAGAAAAATCATACTTTGATAACTTCAGGACTAATCAAGGATCAATGGGTGACATGATATCATGCTATGTGCCATTTTGTGTTAAACAAATTACACCAACAATAAAAAAAATTGGCTTCAATCAACGAGGTTCTTTCTTTGTCTTAGAACATGGGTGCTTTGTTCTGAGTGTTGTCTGATGGGTAGGCAGATTAGTTTAGATTTCTCTATAATGTGGTTAATGACAATAGCTCTTCTGCTCAGTTTATGATGCATATAAAGAATTTTGAAAGTAGTCTTACAAACTTCACCATGAAGTTTCTGCAGTGACAGCTTTACCAGACATCTCCGTGTGGGATTTTAAAACAAACACAAGGCTGTTTGGAAATACTTGGTATATATAAATATGCAAAATATGCTGAACAGCGCTAACAGCTGTAGGGTGAACTCCCTCATCCTTGAGCAGAATATTTTGGTGGCAGTGTGGTTATTTTTTCCATCTTTGCTTTTAATTCCCGCCCCCCCCCCCGCTCTTTTCTCCACCCACTCACCCATCTACAATCCACTCCAAAAGCACAAATTTAACACCCTTCCCCCTACTTCCACACTGCTTCCAAGAAAATCATTTTAGTAGATTCCCACTGGAAAAGGTGGGTGGTGGCTTGATGGAATGTTTCTGAGTTACACGATGTTGTAAAGCCTGAGCTTCGGGGAACTTGCTTGGACTTGATCTGACATCAGGCTCACACACAGCCCAGACACTCTGCAGGCCAGATTCCATTAAGGCTTATCATTGCAAGAAGAGGAAAAGTCCTGTTGTGAGTGGCCCTCCAGCCATGATGATTCCAAAGATGGCAAAATAATCATTTTAAGTGTGTGCTATCAGGTTCTGTAACATCAAGGCACTCATCCTTTTATGAAAATAAGCATATGCCCTATTTTCATATGCCTTTCCTCAGAGCCCGAAAATGGAGGGAGGACACAAGAAAAGTTAAAATTCAAAGTTTCTTCTTATGGTATCTTGAAGAATTGAAGGTTTGAAGGAAAGAAGGTACCAAATATGAAGAGAGAAGGCCCACATCCTAGGACCATTTCCACTGGTGATTTGTTGATATTATTTAATCTTATATTTCTGTTTATCTGTCCAAGGAAGATCAAGTGAAATAAATCTAAACTGATTTGGGAAAAATAAAGTGCTATATAAATACAAAGAAATAGGAACCAATATTTAATGAAAGTCATTGATCTATCATGAGTATTACATGAATTCACCTCAAGTGATTCTCACAAATAGCAATATGCAGATAGCATTATTTGAGAAGCTGTTAGCAATATAAAAATGGGGGTTGAGTTTCAGCAATGCTACTTAGAAGCTGTATATTTTGGATAATTTTCTTCACCTCTTTAAGTCACAGTGTGGTCATCTGTATGTAAAATGAAGATTTTTTTTTTTTTTTTTTTTTTGAGCGGGAGTCTAGCTCTGTCACCCAGGCTAGAGTGCAGTGGCTGGATCTCGGCTCACCGCAACTTCTGCCTCCTGAATTCAAGGGATTCTCCTGCCTCAGCCTCCCAAGTAGCTGGGATTACAGGTGCCTGCCACCATGCCCAGCTAATTTTTGTATTTCTAGTAGAGACTGGGTTTCACTGGCCAGACTCGTCTCGAACTCCTGACCTTGTGATCTGCCTGCCTTAGCCTCCCAAAGTGCTGGGACTACAAGCGTGAGCCACTGAGCCCAGCCATCAAATGAAGATATTAAAGGAAACTACTTCACAGAGTTGTTACTAGAATTAAGTATTTAATTTACTTATCACTAAGTAAATATTGTTGTTGCTCTTTAATTAATCTAACTTTTCAGTAATTGAGGAAATCATCAGTTAAGTTCATTCTGAAGGGCACTGATATAATTTGGCCCTGAGCACCCACTCAAATTTCATCTTGTAGCTCCTATAATTACCAAGAATTGTGGAAGGGACCCAGTGCTGTTCTTGTGATAGTGAATGAGTCTCACAAGATCTGATAGTTTTACAAAGGGGAGTTTCCTTGCACAAGCTATCTCTTTGTATGCTGCCATCCATGTAATATGTAACTTGCTCTTCCTTGCCTTCCACCATGATTGTGAGGCCTCCCCAATCATGTGGAACTGTAAGTTCATTAAACCTCTTTCTTTTGTAAATTGCCCAGTCTCGGGTATGAAATCAGCAGCACGAAAATGGGCTAATACAGTAAATTGGTACCAGTAGAGTGGGGGCACTGCTGAAAAGATACCCAATAATGTGGAAGCAACTTTGGAAATGGGTAACAGGCAGAGGTTGGAACAGTTTGGAGGGGTCAGAAGAAGACAGGAAAATATGGGAAAGTTTGGAACTTCCTAGAGATTTGTTGACTAGCTTTGATCAAAAGGCTGATAGTGATATGGACAATGAAATCCAAGACGAGATGGTCTCAGATGGAGAGGAGGAACTTGTTGGGTACTGGAGCAAAGGTGACTCTTGTTATGTCTCAGCAAAAAGACGAGGAATTTTGCCCTGCCCTAGAGATCTGTGGAACTTTGACCTTGAGAGAGATGATTTAGAGTATCTGGTGGAATAAATTTCTAAGCAGCAAAGCATTCAAGAGGTTACTTGTGTGCTGTTAAAGGCATTCCGTTTTATTAGGGAAGCAGAGCATAAAAGTTCAGAAAATTTGCAGCCTGACAATGTGATAGAAAAGGAAAATCAATTTTCTGAGGCGAAATTCAAGCCGGCTGCAGAAATTTGCATAAATACTAAGGAGCTGAAAGTTAATCCCCAAGCCAATGGGGAAAATGTCTCCAGGGCATATCAGAGGTCTTCATGGCAGTCCCTCCCATCTCAGGAGGCTTAGGGGGAAAACATGGTTTTGTGGGCTGGGCCCAGGGTCCCTGTGCTGTGTGCAGCCTAAGGTCTTGGTGCATCCCAGCTGCTCTAGTGGTGGCTGAAAGGGCCCAACATAGAGGCTGGGCTGTGGCTTAAACCTTGGCAGCTTCCACATGATGTTGAGCCTGTGAGTGCACAGAAGTCAAGAACTGACGGTTGGGTAACTCCACCAGGGGAAAAAACCACGACCTGCCAAGATGCTTGCTGAAGGCAAAGGGAATACAGAATGGGTAGCAGAACAAGGTAGTCATCAATATCAGCTACGACCATGTGACCAGCTGCAGAAATGGGGACTGTAATTGTCATGAGTATTTCCTTCTCCTTTTGTTAGAAATATGTTTGTGCAAGTATACACTTGCACTAAGAAAATATCTTCATTTTATTCCCTTTTTCCTTTATCATGTGACGTAAGATTTAATGACTTCATGTCAGCATTTATGTGTGTTAACTTAATGTAATAGCATTTGGATTAGGGATTGTTGCATTTCTGGTTGTATGAAGGAGAGTTGTAGTATGTTAGGTGTAATTATGACCTTATTATTGTCTTTATTTGAAGTTATGTATGATTTCAGGAGATGTGTATGGGTTCAATTCGACAAGGGGTGGACTTGTGATGTTAATACTGAGTGTCAACTTGAATGGATTGAAAAATGCAAAGTATTGATCCTGGGTGTGTCTGTGAGGTGTTGCCAAAGGAGATTAACATTTGAGTCTGTGTGTTGGGATATATATATATATATAGATATATAGATATAGATATAGATATAGATATATAGATATATAAAATCTCCTATTAGTTCTTCTCCTGTAGATAACTCTGACTAATATAGGCACCCAGCTGTGAGTGACAGAGCCAGGATCCAAACCCAGATTTAGCCAAACAGGAAACTCAGAACTCCATACCACCCCCAAATTTTTGCTATTGTCACATCTGAATGTATTTGCTGTGAGAAGATTTTATAATCTCATAGCCAACTGGGATAAAAAGAGACAGTAGGAGAAGCTAAAAATGGCCAGGAAGGATAGGATACTTTGGAAGAGTGAGGGAGAGTAATGTGGCTTTCATGAATGAGAGCTATGAGAGACTTTGGAATTGTAGAACATTATTTGCCACTTGGGGATACAGAATAAATTCATCTGACATATACTTCTGATCTCAAGGAATATAATTATTTCTTTACTCAGCTTATCCTCAAATCTTATACCGGATTGGAAGAATTATAGCTTCTTGATGTTGACATCTTATTTTTCATCTGAAACTGTCAACTCCCCAATCTCTTTAGGTGTTCAGCACTTGTTTTGTCTGCTAGAAAAAAAATCAAAATTACATTTTAGTCCTGAAAAATTTTTTTAATGAAGTACCCTCATTTCTCACACTTAGAGTATGTGTTTGGGCAAGACTTTAACAAACATGAATAGAATAAATCATTTCAAAACACTTGTCTTAATCTGCAGCTTCTGTGTCAGAAAGCTGAGAGGCTATAAGATTCTATCATCCTCCTACTCCCCACTTGCCAGTTGTTTGACATGGGAAATGTACCCTTCCTCATTAGTAAAAAGGAGATGGTAATACCTACATTATAGGATAGATATGCAGATTAGATGGGATAATGTGTAAGTGCCTGTCAAGTACTAGACTTCCCAGGAAGCTTAGAATTTTATGCATCAATTAGTACTGGCTCAAATTTACTAGGCATCTATAACCAGGAACTTTACAAAAGTCACCTCTTGGAATCCTCAGAACAACTTTTCAAGGCGAGTTTCCTTATTTTCACATTAGAGATGAGAAACTGAGTTGCAGGGATTTTAAATAATATGACACAGCAGAATCAGGATTAAAAGTCCAGTTGTGTAATTTCATAGCTCATGTATTTTCCACTACACCAAGCTCCATCTCAATCTACTATATGATTAATATTGAGTGCCTAGTGTTTGCTCACATTCACATACAAAATATAAGTAAGGCAGAAGTCTAGAGATCGTACTGCAGGTAACCGAAAGCCTGGTTTTTAAACCGCTTATACCACAAACTAGCTGTACTCTCTGCACTACTGTCTTACTTTCTTAAAATTGCATTATGAGACTGACACATCATGATAAGTAATTGGACAATCTAGTCCAATTTCTGCATCAAAATTCAGATTGCTATGAACTATAATCCCCATTTCCTTCTTTCTCTAAACTCATGAAAATAAAGCAGGAGAAATCATCCTACCCCCAGAACTTGTGTGAGTGTGTGTGTGTGAGTGTGTGTGTGTGAATGTGTGAGTGTGTGTGTATCTTTTTTTTCTCTTTATTTAGACTTTCTATAGGGTCAACTATACGTGGTAAAAATACTAATAGAAGTAAAACAAAGTAGTGATTTCAATCCCTAGAAGTCCTGATTTGAATTCATATGGATGTTTCATCCATTTCCCTTGTCAATGTTGACAGTGAATATGGTGTCTGTATTGACTATTTGTAATAGGCTAACCCACTCTCTCTGATCAGGTAGTGCACATTCATAAAAAGCAAGTCTCAGAAATGCCAGCTTTTTCATGGAAATATTTTTAGATGCAACCACTGCGCCTTGCTCTCTGCTGTACTTTTGGACCCGTGAGGCTTCCAAACTTGCCCGTGCTCCCTGGCACCATGACAATTCTCTTAGACTTGTCAAAAAAAATTCAGCTTCTCTGATGTGGAACTTTTTATTGCATGTCCCAGAAAAGATTTTTACCTGTTTTTATTTCTTGATTGTTCTACTAGGTCTTTGTTACCCCAGCCCTGCTAAACTTCAGCTGCTAAAGCGAGCCAGGAACAGGCTTTCCCTCTGAGGTCTAAAAGGATTAGCTTTGGAAACTTAATCACCTGGATCCAGGATTTGTGGGGCCTGAGACTTATGAAAGCTGGGGGGAGGATGACCTTTTAAGAAAAAGAATACAAAATGAATACCAAGTTATGTACATAAGTGAAGACTGAAAATGAGAAATCACAATGGACAAATTTTGAAAAGCAAATAAATGCCATAGAACACAAAATTCAGAAAAAAATGTATATTTTCATTAATTACTTGCTTAAAGATGCATATGTGATGCACTGCATTTCTAATGACTAGTTTTAATCCTCTGCACATTTTAAACCTGTTTTTTATCTTTTTCACTAAACCCTTGTGCTTGCTGATAGAACACTGATAGGATATGTTCATAGAGAGAGGTCATCTCAGGCCCATTTCAAACATTGCAATGGATGGGGTTGAAGGATTCCTAGAAGCCATTTATACACCAGGGAATGACTACTTAATTGTACATAGAAGTATTTGAAAATGGCATAAATATATCCACTAAATCTCAGTTGTATGTGTTGACCAACCCAACCTTGTCTTAGCTTTATCCCTCCCATCCCATAAGAGGAACATGTGATGGAGAAGACAGTGTATGTGAGTGAAGGAGACAGTGTTCTTAAACAATAGTGCTTAAAAACAGCTAATTTTTGAGAAAATTACAAAAACATATGTCAACATGAGCTCTAGATTCATCCCAAGACCTGGGAAAGGGCCTGTGCAAGTGAGACCTGGATGCTTTAGCTGGTTAGCCTCACGGCAAATCCCCTATGCACATGTCACCTAAGCATGTCTCCCACGATAAAAAAGGAAGTTCTATTTAGAAAGGCATTTGATTGTGGCTTTGCACTTTTAATTTCTGGTTTCTATCTGTTGCAGTACATTAAACTGAAAATTCAAAGATAATAAGGTGGGGTGTGGTGGCTCACACCTGTAATCCCAGCACTCTGGGAGGCCAAGGCGGGCAGATCACTTGTGATCAGGAGTTTGAGGCCAACCTGGACAAAATGACGAAACCTTGTCTCTATATCTCTACAAAAAAATACAAAAAGTAGCCAGGTGTGGTGGTGCATGCCTATAACCCCAGCTACTTGGGAGGCTGAAGTGGAAGGATTACTTGAGCTCGGGAGGCTGAGGTCCAAGTGAGCCGAGATCGTACCACTGCACTCCAGCCTAGGTGACAGGGCAAGACCCTGCCTCAAACAAACAAACAAAACCGTAAGATGATAAGAGAGTTACATGCTGAATAACTAAGATGTAACAAGACCTGGTTGACTGAGAGAGACAGAAGGGAAAGTTAAAAATGTTTGGAAAAAATTTTAAGCAGACAAACAAGGAAAAAGTCTGTAAGATGACTCTGAACTGAAGAATTTGTGTGCAAATAACCTGATGCCGAGAATTATGAGGAATGAGTTATCCTCTGGATAAAGCAGTCTTGTTGTTCTTAATAATAAAACTATATGTTGTTTGCAACAATGCATGATCATGAACCAGAACTACATCACATGTTAAAGTAATGGAATCTTACTGAATAATGAAGAGTTACCTAAAGAATGCTTTCGTAGATTATCTGAAAAACAATCTATTCCTGACCTACTTTTGTCACTAACAACCCGTGTGCTCCTAGAAAAAAAATAACTAAATTTCTTTGATGTGTTTTCTTCTCTATAAAATAGGAACAATACAACTAGACAATCTTTAAGGCTTCCTCTAGTTCTAAAAGTTTTTGTACATGTATTTTCTTTAAATATGACACCGTACCTTATTTAGACATCATCATTCATATTTTCCTGGAGCTAGAATAGTTTGGAAAGAATAATCTAATTGGAAAAGATTATTTAACAACTTCTTCAGATATTAATGGAAGTTGGAGCTGTAAAAATTCAATAATGACAATGTTGTTCAGAGTGGAACAAAGAAAAATTCCAAACAATCTCGGCAACAAATGCCATTGGCATTTATGTAATCTGAAGTTTTAAAAAAAAGAGAGAAAAGAAATAGCAAGAAAGACATGATTCTCTTAGGAATTTGACATCCTGGAATTGTGTTTTTAAGTTTTTCTTTCAAGGAGCCAATATGCAAACCTGTGCACAATTTAGACTTTTTGCTCATCCCATATGTTTCATGTGCTGGTTTGAATTATTCAGTGGTGGAAAATAGAAATGTAGAATTAAGAAAAAACATTCACAGCATTCCTATTACTAATTACAGGCAGCACAGTAGACAAAGTTACAGACATATATCATTAAAGACATAACAGGTTATCCAGCTCAATCAGCTCTGCTGCATTTTACAAAACAAAATCTTTGTTATGTGTCCAGCTTAATTTCAACGATCCATGTTGGCGTCTATAGATTCTTCTGGGACACTAATAAATGACTAAATTTCAATATAATTTTCCTGCACTTGCTGACGGCTTAATCTCATGACTGAATTTCATGTAATTACCTACAGTCATTCACACTTTCATTAGTAAGAACAGTTTATCGTGATAATTTGAAGGCATTTGCCACCTGCTCATGATGCCATCCAGCATGTAGACAAAGCAAGTTAAATGAATACAGTCTCTGTGCCCTAAAAACACCCTCAACCTCCTTGATCTGACTGTTTCATGTGTATGGATCTCTATCACATTCTCTTCTATCAATAATGTTTCCATATTAGTCAATTTGACTTGCCTCATTTCTCATGAGTACGTCTTTCTCAGCAAATGCCCTAACACATACTTCATCAGTTTTTACCCTCATCATAGCTTTACTGTAAATAGATTGATCACATCAAGCCCGAGGCCCCCTAACTGCGCAAGGGTGGATACAAATTACAGCCAGAGCAGTCCATTCCGAGGTGGAGGAAGACATAGTTTCTCTTCCTTGATAAACCACTCTGTTCTGAAAAGGGAAACATTAGTTTCCTTGCAGGTACTGAAACTGTTTTCCCAAGACTGATCCCTTCCTAGACTTTCCAATGTCCCGTGTAGATTGTCCCATGTACAATGTACCATGTACAGTGTCCATGTAGTATCACCAGCGGATTGAGCTCTGGCCCTGGCAGGAGATTGCAGGGTGAGACCGCGTACAAGGAGAAGCCGGGATATTTCTCTGTCTCCTACTCTGCTTTGAACAGCATCTCTGGCAGCAGCTGTGTCTCCTGCAGTGACTATGACTCATCTAAGGCCTCAGCTGCTGACACACTCCCAGCTACTGCTGGGTACCCTAGTGTCTGGGCTCCTTTTAGAATGCTTCTCCTCTTTGCGCCTATGGGTGGGAGCGGCTTCCTGATGTTGCTAATCTCTAGTTTGTTTGACCATCTCCATAGCTCTTCTATCACTACATAACCAATTTCCTGCTTCAAATTTGCTGTTTAAGAACTCAGAGTGGTTTCTATTTACCTGGTTGAAATATGGCATATACCATTTTGTCCATAAAGAGTGATCCCAGGAAACAAATCCTCAAGAAAGGATTTTATGTTAGAGCATGAAAGTAGGAATGAGCCGCATGAAGGCAGAGAGAGAATTTTAGTAATCCATGGTATGCAGAGGCATCACAACTACCTGGATTATCAAGGCTCTAAGAAATTAAGTAATCTGCTGTACTCTGCCACTATGGCAGTAACAATGATTACAAGTATTGTAGAGCTTGATAAAGTATTTGAGACAACACTTCAAGGTTTCCAAAAAAAGAAAGCCAATGCAAGACTTTAAAGTTTCAGCTCGAACACAGGTAGAAAACCAGAGTACTTGACGACAGCTTTCAGTGAATTATTTTTATCCATTATACATACAGGACAGCATGGCTGAGAGTCAAGACTAACGTCTTGTGGTGTAGTTTGGAGAATTTTGAAGCAAGTTGGTCAGATAACTTTGCCAAATTTCTTCTGTTAATATTCAGGGGTTAGTGAGAAAGCAATGATTCTCTTAGAAATGGACAGAAACCTGTTTGTTCACGGATAAAGCTGGACACTGGACTTCCACAATGAAATAAGTTCCATAATTCAATATCAAAACTGATTTCCCAGTAGAAACACCTCTCCCTCTTTTCATTTTCCTGAGGAAACTAGCCTTCTTTTGAAATTCACACACATCACGCTTCATTGTTTATAGATCCAAAACTGGAATCAGATTCCAGTAAGACCAGGGTAGAATCAATAGTTATCTTGGAAGAAGACAGCATATAGACCACCAGGAATTGCAAAAACTTGCCCATATCGATTAATTGAAATTTAAAGAGCACATATATAAATGAATCCTAAGCATGTGAAAGGAAGAAAATGAAATATAGAGTTAGGTTGGCTATATCTATTGGATTCATGATTTAATGTATTAACTTGATCATCTGGAAATAGTTCACTTAGTTGACTGCCTAAAGCATGGATTCCACAAAGGACTATGTCTAAAGAGGTCAAGATGCGAAAACTTTCCTGTAATTATTTAGAGCAAGGAGTCCAACAGATATACAAACATGATAAATTTAGAGTAAAATAATTATGGACAATTTGCCTTCTCTTCCTCTGAAAATTTTATCTGAAAGTTACAAAAAAACACTTATATCACCAGGGCATTGAGAAGTGCTTCATGAGGGAAATACCAGCATTTTTGAAAACTTGGTTCTGAATTTCAACTGGAAATAGGGGTTGATGATGGGAGTTGCCACTTGTGAAGTAGTCTACATGATTTTAATGGAAATTGTGGGATTCCAGAGTGACAGAGGCCAGGTGGCAGTACTTAACCATCAGAGATAAGGGTGGCTCAATTACCATGATTGGTTGTAAAGGTGGACTGCCATCCAGAATGTTTTAAACTTGAGGGACCTGAGTCATGGATAATTGATTACCGGGACCTAGGGACAAAATAAATAGGCATAAAATATTACTTGATTTTTATTATAGAGAATCACTATATATAGGGAGCACAGGTCTTATTTGAGTCACTGCAGTAAGAAGTCATGGCGTCTCCTCCAATTCCTCCACCTAAACTAGTCTATAAACCTGGATTGCTTAATTGAAGGAGAGACCAGGCCCCCTTGGGGAAGGTCTTGCAACATCCTCATGTATACAGATTATAAATCTTCCTCTAAGCATAGCCTGAATGAGTAGATGGCCATTTCACCTATGACTTCGCACTGGAGAAAGGGAAAATTCTAGACACGGGCTCTGAGTTGACACTCATCCCTGAGCACCTGAAGTGCCACTATAGTCTTCTGGGACTTATGGAAATTGGCTGATGAATAAAGTTTTGGGCCAAGTCTATCTGAAAATGGTCCTTTTGGGTCCAGGATTCTCCTTTGGGTATTTTTCCAGTTCCTAATAGCATAGTTGGGTAAAGCACATTAGGAAACTTTCCCAGCTCCTAATAGCATAGTTGGGTAAAGCACATTAGGAAACTAACAGAACCCCAGCATTGTCCATTATGATAAGAAGTCCCAAGCGTTAGCACCTGGAAGTGCCATCTGTACTTACACAGTAAATGAAAAGCAAAGCCTCATCCCTGGAGGGCCACAACAAGTTTACTTCCAGGAAAAAGGCATAAGGAGTCATAAAGAATGACTGAGGGCTGTCTTAAACTCAGGTGGTTACTCCAATTGCAACTGCTATTCCACATAGGTATTCTGAGTACAATAAAGCAAACAAGGCTTTAGATTTTGGTACACATCTATTAATCTGGCTTGAAAAATGCTTTTTTCTTCTTCTCCATATCAATTTGAAAGGTTGACCAGGAGCAGCTCATTTTCTCTTGTCAGAGCTATCAGTGTATTGTATGTATAAACATAGTATATGAGGTATCAACACAGTATATGATATGCTTCTATATTATAAAAGGTATGGGAGTGTTCATACCTTATGTAATATGCTTATACATACTCAGGACCTTGATTAGTACCTTTCACAGAACATCACATTTGTCCATGACTTAGATGCTGATTGAATCTGGTTAGGGGGAATAGAAAGAATATCCTAAATGATTAGGAAGTCATTTGTGTGTACAGAGTAAGAGATAAAATGAAATTTCAGGCTTCTGCCTTTAGAGAAGTTTCTAAGGGCATATAGGTGCATTCCTTTTAGTGTGAAAGACAAGTGTTGCAATATGCACAATATCTCACTCAAAAGGAGAAACAAGTCTTGGTGAGCAAAATTTTTTAATATAAATAGATATATGTTCAAAATTGGATTTGACTTATCAATGCATCTAGCTTCTAGTACTATCATCCAAGCAATTATAGAATGCCTTACTTACAAGTTATGGTATCCCACACAGCATTGCTTCTAACCTAGAAACATAAAAGATTGGCAATTAATTCATATCTATGTACTAGCTGATCTAGTAGACTAGTGGAATGGCTGAAGATTCAGTTTGGGGGCCACCTAGGAGACAACACCCTCCAAGGTTGGATTTGCTGTCACACAAGATGCATAACTTGCTTCGAAATAGCAACTAATATGCAGTTGTATTTTTTCCATAGTTAGAATATACAAGTATGGGAACTAAGTCAGAAAGTGGAAGTGACTCTTGTCACTCATATTTAAGACCCTGATGGGAAACAAGTCTACATGGCTCTAGAGGCTCATTTTCTCCTCTTTATTGGTATCTTGGCAGGGAGCTGGCTCACTTGGTGTAATGGCCTACAGAGAGAAAAGATCTTTGATGTCTGCATTCCTAGCATGCATAGCTTTCCGGACCCACCTGATTTGTATGCATTCTCTGTATCATCCTACCTGGGCTCAGAGATATCTTAAAATATTTTTTGTTACTTTGTGAAACTAGGTATTCCCTAGCCCCTCATAGGTTAACCAAAAAATATGTAATGCAGTGCAGGCTCCAGGCTTATTCACTGTCTTGGCATGTTCTTAGTTTTTCTTCTAGCTTCTCATCCTGGCAGACCCCTCCTGGTGAAACCATGGCCAGGGTGCATTCAGACCATCTATACCCTGCTTAAGTTGTAGAATAATGAGCTTGGAAGACAGCGTGTGCTATACTACTTCTTTAGTTTGAATTTTCTCCAGTAAACTCTATATATGCATGTTTTCCCAATAAACTCTACATATACATTACAACCACATGTTGTTCGTGGTGTGTGTTTGTAATTCTTCTGCAGCACACAGTCCATTTGCATGTTTGCAAGGATGTTATTGAAGAACCTGCTGTATATATGGTATTATGGGATTTTATATTTCTAAAGATACACACATGCACACATTCACAAAAGAGAGATTTAAGGAATTGGCTCAGGTGATTATGGAGGCTGTAAGTCCAAAATCTTCAGAGTAGGGAGAGAGGCTAGATACCCGTGGAAAAGTTGATGTTGCAATATGAGTGCTAAGGCAGATTGCTAATAGAATTTCCTTTTCCTTAAGGGATATTAGCCTTTTTTTCTTTCAAGGCCTTCAACTGAGTGGATGAGGCCCAACTGCATTGTGAGAGTAATTTGCTTTGCTCATCGAATACTGATTTAAATGTTAATGTTATCTAAATAAATACTTCATAAAAACATCTAGACTGGTGTTTGACCAAATACCTGGGTACCATGGCCTAGCCAAATTAACACATAAATCAGCCGTCACAAATTAGAAACCTACTGGTAAAGACTTAGAAAATTATTTTAAAAAATATTTCCCCCCATATTAATATAATCATGTTCAACATAATTTTTTAGAATAAACACATAGCGTAGCACTTTTTAGTCACACTGTACATTGAAATAGATATAAATAAATATCCACAACTCAGCCCCACCTACAGAATTTTTACTAAAAATTAGTAGTTAACACTGTTGATCAAACCCATTGTTTTTCCCATAGAGAAGCTGCTCTCCAAGTGAATACAGCTCAATGCAACTCAACAAGTGTTTGCAGAGCACCTGCTGAAAGTCAAGGAGAAGCCTTACTCACTTCCATATCAACTGTACCATTCACTTTCTGTCATGCACAACCTCCCAATATTAAATACCTTTTCACATTCGAAGGCCTGGATTCCTCAAGGTAATTTTCCAAGACAATAATATGCATCTTGAGACAGGGACTGTATCTTTTCTTTGTAGTCTCTGCAACATAGTGCACAAAGCACGTGCTTTAAAGTATTGGTTTGATATGTTAAAATGAAAATCCTTCTATTTCAGAAATCTTTAGAGAGAAATTCGGTCATTATAAAGCACAGACTCATTTTAGAAGAAAGATTTATTCACTTAGGTGTCAAAAGTGCATAGTACTAAACTGGGCATCAGTAGGACTGGCATTTCCTTCTGGCTCACTGGGAGGCAAAATTGGTCACTCAGGGCAAGGTGATCCTCCCTGCCCCTAGCAAAGGAGAGATTTGGACAAGCAAACTTTAAGACTGCAAAGATTCTAAGATTTGTAATTCTTTGAAATATTCTAGAAACCTATTTACATTTTGATTTCTCCTAAATTAGCTTGGTTCTGACATTCACACTGAGATAATACGTAAAGTATAATGAATATTGAAGTACTATCTTGAAACTGCTTTGCAATTTTCAGAAGAAAGTTCTTGTAGAAAGAAGAATTGTATAATTAATCATGGAAACCCAGATGGCACAAAATAAACAGAAACATTCTGGTGTTGTAGCATCCTGTTGTAGTTGAAAGATATTTTGAAAAATAAAAATAAAATCAGTGCTAATGGTTTTGAAAGGACTGACTTCTTTTTGTGCTTATGGCTGAACTTTCTGACTATTATCTATGCCGTTATGATTGACAGAATTATTCCAAATAGAATATTAGCAATCCAGCCCCAAATAGTGTCAAAACCTCCATGTCCAGAATGAGTATCAAACTCTCAACATAATCCACAATTACCAGACTCTCTTGCAAATTACAATTCTGTCATTTTTTATGGGAAATCTACAAGCACAGTAATTGCCTCTTAATAGGATACTTTTTTTTTAAAGGGGTCAAATTTAAACCATCTGTAGACAGATGGAAGAGAAAGTGGAATTAGGGCTGTTACCGAAAACTCTGCAGCTGTCAGGGTGTGTTTGAGGCAATCCTAGTGGTTCATTAGCAACAGGCAACACTACATCCAAGCTACAAGCAGGGCCTGGGGGGAGATGGGCATCCTTCTTACGGCTGGTTGTTTTGGCAAATGTGAGTGAGTGATGGCTGGACTCATCACTGCAGAACACTCTTCCCATGGGCCCAGACTGCAGATTCTACTCAAAGTCTTTGCTGTTCATTCTGGTCATCAAGCCACACTGTGCTTTTCAATCATTTCAGGGAAGAACCAACTCAGGCCCCAGGCACTGATTTCCTCACACCTCCTACGCCCACATTCTTTCTGTTATGATCATCACCCAACCTCCCCTGCTTGTTTTAACCTTTGAAGGGAAGGAGAAAAGAACAAAGAGTCCAATATGTCACAGGACTGGAACATTTTATGAAACACGACAAAACTAACCTGTACAGCAGAGATAGGATCCTTCTAGAGATACCAGCATCAATTTCACAGTGGATACAGCACCCACTCACTTCTCAGTTTCTGGCTTTTTCAAGTGAAAATCATTCTAGGTTTTATTTATTTATTTTTATTTTCTATTTTTCTGTTTCATGTAAACAAATTAAAGATGCCATCACTTGGTGTCTGGTAGAGCTTGCCAAAGTCAAGTGGATTCTTGGAACATTAAGTCCCCATTAAAAAGGAAGAGGAAAAAAAGACATACAAAAATCTTTGTTTACAAGAATATTCATCTCGCAGCCATTATTTATATTGTATCTCTGTTGATGCTTGGGAGTTCTTTTCTCTTCCTTCAGAACTCTTTCTAGTTTTTACTAGTGAGAAAAATTATTCTATATAAAAATTCCTCACTGTGGCCCAAATGACCTACTATTGTTTCCCAGGCTTGCCATGTGCCTTCCCAACTCCACACAGGCACGCACCACACACTTGCTGTTGAAGGTGCTGTGATACACTGACTTCCTTTGCCTCAATCTTACTCATCTTTTAAGACTCTTCAAAGCCATTTTCTACTCTATGAATAGCATTCATTACTTTCTGATCTTATAACCCACATGGTAAATAAATCTTGCCTGGGATTATAATTTTTCTGTGCTTCTACAATTTCCCTAAATAGACTCTTAGCCTCTCAGTGAGAAAGATCCTTTGATCTTAGTCATGTACAATATCTTTTCAGTAGGTACAATGTCTTTAGAGCACCTTATGCAGAGTAGGAGTCCATGGAAAGATGATGATGGCAATAATTTGAGGTCCTATTTGGAACAGAAAAACAGTTTTAAAATACTTGTGGAAATAGTTGCATCATATAATATTTTCAAGATGTCAGGGTAAAAATATGCTTAAAGATAAAAGTTCTGTGGGCTTAATTTTCACCATTTATCATGACTGAGTAGTATCTGTTTGCCTTTCATTTAAAGTCAATTTCCCTTTTCAACAAAAGGGTGAAATACAATGCAGTTCTCAGAGCTAGAACAAGAAAGTAGTTTAACCGTTACAACTTTGAAAGTAAAAAGAAGAGGCACTAATGGAAAGGTAGACAAAAGGCAAAAGAAAGAGCTTATAAGTAGAAAATATGAGGTTGGTCTCACACACACTCTTGTGGCACAGGGTACAGATTTAGTTCTGTACTAAGAATCGGTAAAAGTAGGGGCTAAGTAGGGTCTGACTTTCTCCATTGTGTCAATTGAGTTGGGAATGAGTTGGTAATGTTGACGGCTGTCCAAGAACATCACAGAAGTACTTCAACTGTTGGTAAGCCTTATGGCTACTAAAAGTCAGAGTAATTATTAATATGAGAGCTATTAATATCAATATACCAGTTGATACACTAGTTACCAGAATCTTGATATTTTTACCTTACATATATATTTGTGATTCATTTAGATTTAATCCAAACAATACAATTTGAAAATGTTGTATCCCAAAGCAGCAAAGACCACATCTGATAAATCCAAACCTGTTTTGGAAAGCAAAATAATGGTAAATATGACCCCCAAACTATTATATAAAACCTTTTTGATTTTAGGCAAGTAAAAAATAAAATTGGGTTTTTAAAAAGGATTCTATCTATCCAGATTTTGCTAATAAACTATGTTGGGTTTTTTGGTACCATTTTTATGGAGAGGGTTAACATTTGCTTCGTAACATTCTACAGAGCTTTCCTTCCACCCATCTAGCGCAGTACTTCCAGAAGCCAACTGGGAAATTCTTTTCTTTAAAGCCTCATAAGCACTATGGGAAGTGCTTGGTATCATCCTCAGGCTCCTCCCATGGGAAGTGGCCATGAGGTGATGCACAGTCAAGAAATGAACTCAAACTAAAAATTTCAGCGCATTCACTTGCTGTACCATTGGGTAAATTAATTAAACTTTTTCAGATTTCTTCTGAAACTCTTCCCACAACTGGAAAGGAATCTCTAAGTTTGAAATACCTCTATTCTCTCTCATTATTCTTTCCCAATCTCATTCTGGTCACAGAGGAAATAAAACCTCTTTTATCCAATCCATAACTATGCCTGTCTTCCTAGAAATCTTCACTCCTTGGTAAGGAGAAAAGTATTAACTTTTAGTTGTATCTAATTTGAAACTAAATAAGCTGTCTCTTTTAGCAGTATTTAGGTTCAGATATTCTCCTCCTACTTCACCTGCTATGAAGTTAAGCTTTTCAGACAGAGAAAAGGGAATGTTCACATGTCTTTGTGGTGGCTGTTAGTTTTGTATTATTTTAATTTCGTGAGAGGTACAATGGGGAGGACTCCTCCGACCTTTGGTTCTTTGCTGGATATGCACTTGCTGATATTTTTAATGTCACTCTTGTCCACTTTGTAGTTGGGCCTCGTACATGCTTCCTAAACTAAAGTTTGAGGTTTTAAACTTAGGGCTGTAATCAAGTCCTTCCAGAAGCATAGCCCTCTCCCACCTGGTTAGCTCAGCTTACCCAAGTTTTAGCTGGCAAAGATATACAGTTCTCTTCCGTTCATCTCTCTGGCCTTGACAAGAGTGTGACTTATGCCACTTCGGGAGGCTGCTCACAGATCTGGTGACCTCCTCCATGGTCTCCCTGCCATCAAAGAATGACAGGAGCTAGAGGGTGCCCACTGTGCTCCTCTTTTCCCACGCCACTCCACCTTGTCTACTAAACTGGCTGCCTCATGTTAGTGCAGGGCGCAGTGCATAGTGGATCCTCCCAAATTATTTCAATTGAAGTCACAAGTTCCTGTAACTTTCTACTCTCCCCTAATTATCTGATAGACTTTCCCCATCCTCAGGTCAAATCCAGAGTGGGAATACTGAGACATAAGTCAAATAGTTTCCTCTCTCCCCAACTCCATTCTCTGACCAAACATCAAGTCAGTGTGAAGTGTTTTTATGTATCACATTATCACTTTCCTTTCTCTTCTAACCTCAGAGAATGGTTGCCTTTTCTAACTTTCGGGAAACATCTAGTTTAGCCCTTCATATATAAACTGAGAATTAAAGATGTTAAAGTAATCTTTATTTTTCTCTGTGATGTTGGAACTTACAATCACTGTCTTGCTGTAAATCATTATTGATATAACTATTATCATCTTCTTTCTCTACATTTCTTCTGAAACATTTTCATCTTCTCACCCACCACTGATTCCCACATCACTGGACCTCAGATCAACCAGCATAATGGTTATATACTCAGAAAGGTAAAAGGAAAATTCCTTAATGCTTTTCAAATCATTTCTATTATTGCCATTATTATCTACCTTCTCTTTCCTGTTCAGATGCATATATTAACTGCTCATCTAAAAACATCTACCACTAGGAAATCCAATAATCAGTGAAAAGTGTTTGTGCAAAATCTTAATTTTGTATTTCCTCCACTGCCTCTCAAACTCTCCAATAAATCTCATTTATTGTTATAATTTATTCCATAATGCCCTACTCCAGAAACCACAGTCATTCTTGACTTCATCATTTCTTCCCTTTCATCCTCCCCTTCAATTAAGAAATTACTCTCAAGCATACTGCCTCCCGAGTAATCTTTTCAAAATTCCTAGGAAACTGATTAACCTCTAAACTTCCAAGGATTCTATTATGTGTAGAACATGCTATTGGGACAGGCAATTGAGATTATGAGTAGATATAAATTCTTAACGAATGGTAGCAATCATTCTTATTTCTCTCTTTCAAAAGCTTCTCTTTTCCATTAGGTCCTACTATATTATGTTCACCCTTTTAGCAGAGTATTGAAGGTTGTTCATCATCAGCTGCCATCACCTGTGCACACTCAGTGCTTGAGCTGCTTTGAACATTTTTTTCCATTCATCACAATGCATCATTTTTTAGGTATGCTCTCCAGTGCTTGTCCCATTACTTAAAATGGATTTCTGCCTGTGCTTACTTTCCAGCTCTTCCATCTACTCCTTGAGTAACCTTGGGAAAATTTCATAATCTCTCAAGGCCTCAGTTTCATGTCTTCAAGAGTAGCATAATCTCTCAAGGCCTCAGTTTCATGTCTTCAAGAGTAGCATAATCTCTCAAGGCCTCAGTTTCATGTCTTCCAGAATAAAGATAAAAATGAAACTTGACTCATGGGATATTTCTCAGCATTAAACAAAATAACACATTTTGTTATTAGAAATTAGCCAATAGTAAGTGTCCAATAAATTTTAGCAATTAACTAATAATTATATAATTAATTCATTATTTATTGTCATGATCAATATCATCATCATCAATGGCAACAACAGCAGTAGCAGCAATGGCATATTAGCAAGCTTTTACTTAAACTTCAAGATCTGGATAAAATATCATCTCATCTGTAAATATCGTTTCAGGGAAATCTGCCCATTCACACCATTGTGGTGTCCATCTCCTCAAGTTTTTCAGCATCCTGAGGACAGAAAACACGAGAAGTTTTCTTTGCATTTCTAGTACCTGGTCAATGATTGCATGTAGGAGGTTCTCAATAAAACATCACTGCAGAAACACACACACACACACACACACACACTTATTGTTATTAGGGTGTGTCAATTTCTTCTAATATCTACCATGTATTCAGCCACTCAGTTCTTCAACAGCCCTGTAATTAGGTGCTCCTATTATCCTTCTCCTTGCACAGGTGGGAAACTGAGAGGTGGAGACATTAGGTAACTTGGTCACAGCCGAGACTAAAACTAAGGTTGTTTGGCTCCAGATTCTGCGTGTTTAACCTTAATGCTACATTCCTTTTCCTGGGCAAGAAGGAGGATCTAAGGACAGAGGATGGAATTGAATGCTCCCTAAAATACCCTCTGTTCTAACAGTCTATGATCTTAGGATTTTTCTTAGAGTCTTTGAAACTAATATATATGGAATAATATATTAAAATATCTATTATTTCTTCAGAAATTTTATGAAAGGTTCTAACTATTCATCATATTTATTCACTGAGCATGTCTAGTCTGATAAAAAGACTACGTTTCTCATCGATTAACCATAGCATGCCTACTCATACTCTCACCTATTTATAATTTTATTCAAGTTCATTTTCTTGAAATAAGTGGTTCTGTTTTAAATGAAATCAATTAGAGAAAAGTCACCTTGAATTTGGAATTTTATAGTTCCCAAAGTTTGAGCTTTAACTGCCTTCACCTCGAATAAAAGTTTTATTCCAGGTTTGACTGTTAGACTGATACATTCAAAAACACATAGCATTCAGTTTGGTGCTCTTGGAAAGATTATGGTGTACGCAAAGAAGCAGGCATTTCTCTCATTGTTTTCATCAACTACCAGTATTCCTGAAAAGAAGCAACAAATGGATAAAGTTTGTTTATATAACTGTTTGTTAACATAACTATTGGGGAAGTAGTGATAGAAGAAAAACCGTCTGATGAAGCAAGCTGAAAGTTTTGTTTTGTCATGTCACTGATATAAAAGAGGATTGCCAGCTAAGATTGAGTTAGCAATCTCTATTCCATTCCAAATTATGACAGCCTTGAGAAGTAACTGACAACCAAGCAAACTTAAAACCAAGAGGAAAAATGTTTATGAATAGAAAAATATTCTGAATGATTGCTATCCAAATTATCATTCAATTAAAAAATTTAATAGGCTGAAAGCTTATAAAGAATATTATATTGAAGAGTAAGAGTAGTTATCAAAAATATCACAAGTTATATTAACCTCCCTAAAAAGGAGATAAAACTTAAAGGAGAAAAAAAAAAGTCACTTCCCCTAAATAACTGAACAAACCTATTTTCCAATATATCATTGAAGCACCATACTAACTGGAATCTTATCTCTACATAAATATTTTGATTATCTTATAACAATTTTCCTAAAGATATTTCTACTTTACTATTTGAACAGTTTAGTTTACCTTTCTAGAGTTTATGAGTGAGCTCATTACCAGTGAATCAAAAATGGTAAAAAGTATACTTTGTTCCATAATCTCTTGAAAAGTAAACTAAATAGTTCAAGTAGTGTATTAGTCCATTCTCGTTCTCATACTGCTATAAAGAACAACCTGAGACTTGGTAATTTATGAGGAAAAGAGATTTTGATTGACTCACAGTTCTGTAGGCTGTACAGGAAGCATGGCTGGGAGGCCTCAGGAAAATTACAGTCATTACAGAAGGCCACGGGGAAGCAAGCACCTCTTACCATGGCAGAGCAGAAGAGAGAGAGAGTAAAGGGGGAAGCGCTATACACCTTTAAACACCCAGATCTCATGAGAACTCACTCACTATCACAAGAACAGAAAGGGAGATGTCTGCCCCCATGAGTCAATTGCCTCCAACCAGACCCCTCCCTAACATTAGGAATTATAATTCAAGGTGAGATTTGGGTGGGGACACAGAGCCAAACCATATCAAATAGTAAATTAAGTAAAATCTTTAGGAAAATTCTTACAAGATAATTCAAATATTTATGTAGAGATAAGATTGAGCTTGGTATATACTCACTCATTACCAGTGAATTACCACTGAAACCAACATGATTGGGCTGCAACTACCAAAAAAATAACCAGCCAGCGATATTAGTGATAAGTGACTGTAATTTAACTGTTCTTTATTTCCTGAGCCTCCATAAGTTTTCAGACACAAGCTATATCCCTCATCTGTTTCTTTCATGTCTGTGTCTAGATGCTGAAAATTTCTGCCAAATATCTTGGTAACATTTAGAACTGTTTTCAAAAGAAAGAAAGGCACTATTAAGACCAGCTCTAAGCTCAAGCAAGGTAGGTTATATTCTGTGCATAAATTTGAGATGTGCTAACAGGCAGTTTTGTCATCATAAACCTTTCAAATTATCTAAAATTCCAAGAAATAGAATCAGCCCCCCAAGACCGATTTTATTTTTCCTAAAAATAAAGACAAAATAACATATATTAGCATGCATTTAGCGTTTTTCAGGAAATACTATTTTGGCTCACTTCGCCAAATAACAACCATCTTTGACATCATGTGGTAGAGACATGTACATTTACATTAAGATAGCTTACATTTTACAAGACATATTTGTATCCATTAGCTTACTCGGACTTCATCTCAACTGAGAAATTATAAGAAATTATAATATTTTGAAGACAATGAACCTAACGTTAAATATATTGGTGAATATTTTAAACATAAAATAAAATCCCAGTAAGTAAATGAAACAGAGTCAAAATCCAATTCTTCAGGTTCCTATTGTAGTGATACAACACTCTGCCGCTCAAGCTCCAGACATATATGAATGAAAAACATCAGTTGGCCCTCTGTACATGGGAATATGCTGGCTTAATTTCTGGCTATAGGTACATTTGCAGAGTATGATGATATTTACAAATAACACCTATCTTTTAGTTGGTTATTTTCTCCAAAGAACTATAAATATCTTATGGCAAAGAAAAAAATCGGAGGATAGGAACATGTACTGGGTACTGATTATTTATCAAGCACGGTGTAGGGCACTTTATATCTGTTCACAATTTAGATTTTCTCAGAAAGAGTGACTGTTTTTTTTTTAGGTAACTTACTTAGTATGTGATCCCAGAAAGCAATATCGGAGGATCCAGGAATGTGGGGTTGAAAGGAAGAGATGCCATTAAAGGGTGGGTTATGACTGTGAGCCACTGGGGCTCAGTCCTGTTGGAGACCCTGAGAATAGTTTCTCTGTAGAACAGGAAACTGGGCCTTTACCATGACCCTTGTCCATTACTGTTGAGGGCTGTGCCCCAGGGCAGTTAATCATCTCCCACTCCCAAGCTGCCCTGTGTGCGGAGTGAGGGTCCACACAAAATGTAAAGAAGAAAAGCAAAGAAGAAAAGTGGGATGCTGCTGGAGTGCCTGGGAACTTTCCATAAATGCAGCTAAAATTGCAAGTTGGCTTAGGGACTCTGACACAAAACACACAAGTTGTCTGCTATAGTATCCCTTTTCACTGCTCAGAAATGCTACTGCTCCATATTAAGTTCAACTTTTTAACAACTCTGAAGTCGTGCCTTGTCACAACCTCTTTAAATATGAATTTAAAATAGGTTTAGTAGAGCGAGCTACAGTTCCTGCTACAGTCTGAGTCCCAAGGCTGTAACTGATATTCATTATCTTCCTTCTCTACCACCCACTGTACAGCTTTCTTTCACATGGCCAGCCTTACAGCTGGCATACAGCTGCTTGCCTGATAGAGAAGCACAGAGCTTCAACCCTTAGTTGTCTGAGTCTTCTTTGTCTTGCCCCTTATCAGATTGTTGCTGCTGCAAATGCCTGTTTTCTTTTTTCACTGAGCATAGAAACACCACGAGAGGCTACAGTGATTTCCCTCAGTGCCCAGTGCACTCCTCCACACCTCCATTATATGGCAGCAAACATAGAAATGCATGATAACTAGGGTTAAACATCCTGTCAATCTAGTAACTGTTTTTAAAAATCATTTATGTGCTGGTCTACAGGCATGAGGAGTCCAAAATGACTAAGCAAAAGCTAAAGGTTCAGGTTTGAAGAAACCCTTACTGCATTTCCTAGAAGCAAAATTTCCCCTATTGGGGTTTAAGACCTAGAATCTACAGAGTCTAAACGTGCAGCAGTGAGAAACACAAGTTCCACAGTGGGTCATTTGTGGGGACGGGGGGATGGTGAGTGTGGTCGATGCTTCTTTCAACATTTCATTCTCTCACCTGTGTATTCTAGTACTAGGAACAAGGCATCATATAATAGTTATTTCTTAAATATGAACATCACGTCACAAAAGGCAGTATCCTAACCAAATAAGGTGCCATCCCCACAGTGACAACTAGGCTGAACCTTTATGAGGCCATTCTTACATTCTATCAGATTGTCTATGATCTTGTGATTACACACTTTCAACTTGGATATAGCATGACTTTTGATTTACTATCATGACTGGGAGTGGGTGGGAAATCTCAGGTTTGTTCTTGGTATTTCACCCTAATGTCTCTTATTCTACAAATCAGAAATCTAATGTAAGGGTTCTATCAGATCCTAAATTTGATTAAAATTCAGAGTCTTGAGAAATAACTACAGGGTGATTCCATGGAAAAATTAAACTCATTATAAGCTAGATTTAAAGCCGGAAATCTACTTACCGTCTGGTCATAATACACAAGGAATTAGAGTTACTTTAATTTCAGTATGAAATAAGACTCAGTTTTCAACATCTCTTTGAAAGAGCTTGATTATGCGTTTTCCTTAATGTGCGGTTACTCTGGTACAAGACCATAGGTACTTTTGAGGACAGACTGATATAACATTTATGATATATGCTTTTGGTGGCATAAAAGGGTCTTTCCTCAGGAGTATCTATCCTCATTTTGGTCAATAGATCCTATCTGAGGCTATCTCAGATCTGAAAACTGGGCCAGGAGTAGTAAATTTTTACTGCAGAATCTGATAGAACTCTTGGCCTACTACCTTTTGAGTTTTTTCTTGGTTTTATACATGTCAAGCAACATCTTTGATGGCTGCACATTTATTTCACTTCCAGATATACACTACAGTCTTTTAACCATTGCCAGAGTTCTCTGTAGGTTAAGGAACCCTTTTTTTGCCATACAGATATGTCTGTGCCTTCTAGTATTGCTTCTGATGGCTAAGCGCCACCACTTTGTTTTCTGCTATTCCGGAACTCTGTCAGCTTCATTGACACTAGGGGCCTTTGTCTCATGGAACTGTCTCCTTCTGTCAATTCTGTACAGCAGAGGATAGCCATACTGCACTTCTCAAAAACGTTAGTGTTTTCTTCAATAATGCATGCCTCCTTGGATGCAGAAACCCAGGTATTCCTATCCCAGATATATCAGTCTCTTACTTCTTTTGTATCTTGGCCATGATTTTAGCTTAAAAGACGCACTAAGGCTGAACATTGTCTCCTTTGCAGTTTTGTTACCTTTACTATTAAATCTTGGGCTTGAATTTCAGCAAAGTCTACCCAGAGCTATAGAAAATAAAAGTCTTTTAAAAACTTCCATGAAGGTCTTCTGGCCAGTGTCATTCTGTTTCTCCAAGGTTTTCAATGCAAATTAAATGTCAACTAATTTTACAATATTTTAAATTATCATTGCCCCCACAAAGTTCAAGTATCAGAGCTACTGCATAAGCCAATGTTTCCCTCTTTTCTACCTTTTATCACATTTCAAAATAGGTAACAGTATCAGTAATTGTGATGCCAAACTAGTTTGAGAAAAGGACTTATGAAAAGGTAGTTTATTTGAAAGCATCCAAGAAACAGAAGCAGAGGGGTGGGGAAAGTAAACTAAGAAAAGAGGAAAGCTTGTTACCACTGAGAACAACTGGAATTCCATCTGCTATGGGCCTCAGTCCCTCTAAAGAACTATGTTGATGCAGGGCATGGTAGCTCATGCCTGCGATCCTAGCATTTTGGAAGGCTGATGGGGGTGAATTGCCTGAGCTCAGGAGTTCGAGACCAGTCTGGGAAACATGGTGAAGCCTTCTCTCTATTAAGATACAATTAGCCAGGCATGGGGCACATGCCTACAATCCCCACTACTTGGGAGACTGAGGCACAAAAATCACTTGAACCTGGGAGGTGGAGGTTCCAGTGAGCCAAGACTGGGCCACTGCACTCCAGCCTGGGTGACAGAGCAAGACTCTGCCTCCAATAACAAACAAATGAACAAACAAACAAAAAACTGTGTTGAATGTGTTGAATGCAGTTTTAAATAAAGAACGAGAGCCTAAGACCTTTCTACCAGTTCTTGAGATCTGCTAATTGAGTGATTTGTCCGTGGCTCGTCCCTGCATTTCTGGGCTGCTTTGTTGGTGTTATCTGAGTTGCAGTAATAGAAAAGCATAAAAAGCAGTGTTTCCCTTATATCCATGTTCTCATTTATATGCACAATATCAATTTTACAGGTGAAAAAAATTAGGTTTGGACACCGAAGTAATTTACTCAAGGTCACACAAAAAGTAAATGACAATGCAATTAAAGCTTACTAGAAATGAAGACTTTTTAGCCCAAATCCAGACCTAGTGAACCGGAATTTGCAATTTCACAGGAACCTTAGGTGTGACATATGCATATTTAGGTTTGCTATGCACTAGTTTAAAATGTTGTTCTTAAATGTCCATAGCCATAAATCAAACAAGAACATCTTATATATAACGGCAAGTTATCCAAAAGATACATTGCTCTTTCCAGTCAAACCAAAGAGATTCTCCCAGGTATTCTCTTTTTCAAACATTAATTAATTAAGAGTATTTGGCTGTAAGGAACACAATGCAATTTTTTTCAAGATGTTTGTGTGGATTAGGGAGGGACTGGAAGGTGATACAGAAGGTACACTATTGCCATAGGTAAGTAGCATGCCAGGTGGAGCTGAGGAGGCAATGGGCATAACTCAGGAACAACATATTTGAGAGTGTATTATTTTCCTATTGCTGCTGTAAGAAATTAGCACAAATTTGCTTAAAACAGCAGCACACATTTTTCCCATTGTTCTGTTGGTTCAGCTAGTTTCTCTGCTCTGGATTTCAGCTTTTTCACAAGGCTGAACTAAATATATTGGCAAACTGGTTTCTTATCAGGAGGTACCGGGAAGTGTCCACTTTTCTTTTCTTTTCTTTTTTCTTTTTTTTTTTTTTGAGACGGAGTCTCGCTCTATCGCCCAGACTGGAGGACAGTGGCACGATCTCGGCTCACTGAAAGCTCCGCCTCCCGGGTTCACGCCATTGTCCTGCCTCAGCCTCCGTAGTAGCTGGGACTACAGGCGCCCACCACCACGCCCAGCTAATTTTTTTTTTTTTTTTTTTTTTTGTATTTTTAGTAGAGATGGGGTTTCCCCGTGTTAGCCAGGTTGGCCTCGATCCCCTCGTGATCCGCCCGTCTCGGCCTCCCAAAGTGCTGGGATTACAGGCATGAGCCACCGCGCCCGGCCGAAGTGTCAACTTTCAAACTCACTTGGACTCTTCTAAGAATCCAGTTTTTTGCACTTGTGTTAGGGGGCTGTCGTTAACTCCCAGTGGCCGCTGAGGTCCTTGCCTGTGGATTCCTGCTTCTCAAAGCCAGCAAGGGCGTGTCAAATCTGCTCATGCTTGGAATCTCTCTGACTTTTCCTTGGGTCACATATCTCTTGCTTCACCCTCTGCCACACTTTTTTTTTTCCTGAAAGCCAAAAAGATTCTTTGCTTTAAGGGGTGATGTATTTAGATTGAGAGCCCACCTGGATAGTGGGTCCTCTCCCCTCCCGTTTTAGATTCTCAGGCAGTTCTTTATAGCAGTGTGAAAACGGACTAATACACAGTGCTTTGTGCTTGGAAAACGGCATGAAGGAGATGGAGGTAATGTGCGATGACTGAGAGAATTTGTAGAACAGCAAAAACCACTGAAATGCCATTCTTCAATAGAGGCACCAGGTAAGCCAGCAGCACACAACAAAAATAAAAACAATAATTTTGCATTTCCATTTTCTTGTTTTTTCCACTTGTTACAGGCTGTTAAAGTGGCAGTTGCCTGTTATAGTGCATATCACCTTAACTTACCCACCAATAAATCTCAACATAACCCAGCTATTTATGTTTTATAATTCTTGCCTATGGACAGAAACAAAATGTCATTCTCCAAAAGTGTCTTTTCAACAAATACATAGGGAGAAATTAGAACAAAGTATGGACCAAAAGCATTCAAAAATGACTCAAGCTCAGAACACATTTGAACCCACTGAAGAGTACAAGTTGTAGTTAAATTAATCTTACCACTAGGGGAGGGTTGACATTTTTCTTATACATATTCAGATGTCTCCTCTTCTATGTGAACCAGAAACCTTAGGAAGAAATAAGGCAATAGACACAAAGCATGACACATATGGTGGGCATTTGCTTGAACTCTCAGACTGGAAGATTTTTTTTTAGAAAAAAGAAAAAAATTCAGTAAATCCTCAAAAAATTTTTCATTCAGGTCCATACCTTGCTACAGGTTTTATTGCTTCAGTTCTAGTTAAGGATAGTGTTTATTTTTAGATTCATTTAATACCCAGAAACACAAGCAATGCTGAAGGTCACACTACAATCTGAAACTGTCTCAAATGTTTCTGGTTTGGCTTCACCAAAAATGCATTATGCCAAACACTTTTCGTCCTTAATTTTTAAACCCTTGTATGTTTTTAAACAAAATGCAATCCACATGTTTCTTACACATTTACACTTAACTCATCAAATTCCTCTTGTGTAAAGAGTGACTTGGAGACCAAAAAGGAATTGGAAATTATTTATTTGCCTTTGAAGCTTTTTTTGTTAGGAAAGGAACAGCGTGTTCTTTGGAATAATTCACATTAGACAACCAGGTGTTCAGTAAACCTGAAATATTTAAATAACATAATCTAGAAAAATCTACATTTGTCTGTTCATCTTGCTTCCCCTTGATTACTAATATAATGATAATATTCATCATTTTTCATCATCATCAGTCGTAATGCTATTATGTTATCATTTACTATTATTGTTGTTAGAAACTTAATAGGAACATTGGTGGTATTATAAGCATAAGTGCATTTTGTAACTTCTTCATTTATGAAGTACTTTTACCTCACTCATTCTTAAATACTTCAGTAGTGAAAGCCTTCCATGCTCTGTAGTATATACCTTTTTTCATTTCCTGTTGCGCCATCAGACTGAGAAAAAGAATTTGCCAATTGCTTTACGTCCTCCACAAAGCCTCTTTTTGGTGATATCAATCTCATTTCTACTTTTATGACTTTGAGTGTTCTCTTCATCTCCCTTAACTTTTTTCACCTTCTCTTTTCAGAGCCTTGTTTGTCTCTGTCTTTATAATTTGAATTAAGACTAATATCATCCTAAAATATTTCATTGCTGAGCTGAAAGTTCCTGTCATAACGCTTCCATTTATGTCTTCTTTATAACAGTGGATGCAACATTGTTTTAATTTGCTTATTCTCTGAATTATACATTGTTACAGATCTCCAGGTGTGCCTAAAGAATCTTGGGGATGTGTCTTCTGAAGCTAAAGAGACCCCTAAGCATCCTGCAAAGTAAGTTCTATGTCTTTTTTCTTCACGTCTTCTCATGGCGTTTACTTGCAATTGTTACAACATACAAAATCAGTCAATGTGCCTGCTTGGCACTGTATTTGTTATATGACATGTGCTATTTGTTTTCTCCATGAAAATATTACAATAAAATACTAGATAAAAGTAAATTTTGACCCTGTCTCCCTTTAAAATTAGATTACATGTTTTTAATTTAATATGTGAAGCTTAGGCCTTTATATATTATATATATATATTTATATATATATATTTTAAATTTAACTAAGGTCTTGAAAACATTGCACAGAAAAAGAAAAGTGGTGAATAAGATCTTAATCAAAATTACCATTTATCAAATATTGTTCATTCATAAAACAGATACCAGTGCACAACAATTTGGGACATAGCTTAAGCTTTCTGCTCGATGCTGGCGACAAAGAGGAGAAAGACAACTTCTACTCTCAGACAACTTAGTCTGCTTTAGGAGTTACAAACACAGACAATTTCAACACTGGATGAAAATGATGGGACAAAGGTAAAAGGAGAGAGGAATGCATCTCAGCTGAGTTTCAGAAAAAAAAAAAGTTTTGAAGAGATCTCAATGTTAGGTAAGCTGTGCAAGTTAATCAATATAACGTGCAGGCAAAACAGAAAGCCTTTATTTAATAGACATAGTTATTAGTTAATAACAATAACAATGAATCCTTCTAATGATTGTAGAGGCAAATACTGTTATTATCCTAATTTTACAAGTGAGAAAACGTAAGTTACATATAACATTTAAGTGAGGCCGGGTGTGGTGTCTCATGCCTGTAATCCTAACACTTTGGGAGGCCGAAGTGGGTGGATCACTTGAGGCCAGGGGTTTAAGACCAGCCTGGCTAACATAGTGAAACCCCGCCTCTACTAAAAATACAAAAATTAGTTGGGCATGGTGGTGCACACCTGTAGTCCCAGCTACTCGGGAGGCTGAGATGGGAGAATCTCTGGAACCTGCCCAACCAGGGCCACAGAACAAGAGTCTATCATCTCAGAAAAAAAAAAAAAAAAAAAAAAAGTTAAGTGAATTGCCCAAGGACAACAGCCAACAGCTGACACAGCTAAGAATTAACTATATGCAGTATTCACCCAGAGCCCCAGCTCTGAGCCCCTACATGAAGCTTCCAATATGGAACTTACCCACTCATGGAAAAGCAGCAAACAGTCAAGGAACAGCAAGTGTTTGGCATTGCCTCAGGGCAAGCTACATCTGAGATAATGTCAAGAGATGAATGAAGCTGAAAAAGTAAAGGGGAACAGTGTTATACAGAAAAACTAGGATTTTATCTTAAATGAGTCATTATAATCCTAGGAGTGACAGGGTGTTATTTCAATATTGGGAAGAAAATTCTGACAGGATCTTGGGATGTGGAATATAAAATGGCTAAATTGACGGTCAAAAGACCTGCTGAAAGGTATTTGTGGTAATACAAGTGAACAAGAGAGGAAATACGATTGGAGGGGAGCTGAAACTTACAAGTATTATTCTACAAGTGAATCTTTTAGGACTTGGTAAGCTGCTGGTGCTGGACAAAAGAAAGAAGGTAATGTCTGGAGTGATACCCATGAGTTTCTGATGACAGCAACATTGTCGATAGTAGCCAATCTCTGAAATAAGGAAGAAGAAAAAGAGACTCAGAAATTAGAAAATGCGGCCAGGCGCGGTGGCTCACGCCTGTAATCCCAGCACTTTGGGAAGCCAAGGCGGACGGATCACAAGGTCAAGAGATCAAAACCATCCTGGCCAACATGGTGAAACCCCATCTCTACTAAAAATACAAAAATTAGCCAGGCGTGGTGGTGGGCGCCTGTAGTCTCAGCTACTTGGGAGGCTGAGGCAGGAAAATTGCTTGAACCTGGGAGGCGGAGGCTGCAGTGAGCCGAGATGACGCCACTGCACTCCAGCGTGGTGACAGAGTGAGACTCCATCTCAAAAAAAAAAAAAAAAAAAAAAATTATAAAATGCTCACTCACAATACAATGTCAAGAGAGGAGTTTGAAACTTTGTATTACCTTTTTAAAAATGTGTATTTAATATATACATAAGCTCTGCTGAAAAAACATACAGCCACTAATTGTGAATGGCAAAATTTATTCAAATTTTTAATTTTCATCTGTATTTTCTAAATTTTCTGTAATGACTATGCATTAATTATATTTCTATTGAACTAAAATTAAATTTTATCAGAAGTCTTCTATTTTTATTTTTTCCATCAGCTTTATTGAGTTACAACTGACAAAAATTGAATTTTTTTAAGGTATACAACAAGATTACTGGAAATATTTTAAACAGTGATGTTACTTACTGTTGCCTGGTATAAACTTCCTGAAAAACAAAATACAGCACTTACCAAAAATAAATGCTTTATTAACTTTAGATCAGAAATTCTCTTCTTAGGAAGCTATTTAAGGTTTTACATAATTGCCATCTATTTGTCTATAAATATCTTTATTGTTATGACATTTATAATACTGAAAAATTGGCATCAACAATTGGGTTATTGAAATGAATTATAGGATGAATGTGTTAATATATATTACTCATTAGAATAGTTATTTACAAAAGTATTTAGTTACCAGAAAAAATATTTGTGATATATGGAAATGGCAGGGTATTTATTTTTCTTTCTTGTATGCATGTAGGACAAGGTGATACTGATTTTCTTCTTTGACTTTGTTTTGTACATTTTGAAATCTATGTAATGTACCTACATATTAGTTATAAAATATGTCAATAAAAAAACATTTCATTTGTAACCTGAGCAGTGTTATTGCCTTTTATTCATTTCAAACAGGAAGCCAACAAGGCCTGCAAAAGTCACCTAGATCATGAAATTGACTATGTCAGGGGAGGCAATTCGTCACAATCGTGTTTGAAAATGAGGATAAGCATGGAGAGCCAATGATTACATTTCACAATGTCCTTCATGGGTATGTGAATATGATAGTAGGAATCTTAGCTCTTCACTTAAAGAAAGAAGCATTAAAATTTGGAATTTTAGAGAGTGAGATGATAAAAAGATACGTGGTATGGTATTACCACCTTCTTGGAATTTCTGAAAAACCATGTTCAGGACCCAGACATAGATAACTGACTCCTTCATTTGAATTTTAGGTAGGTACTACCTGTGTTATTGTGTTTAGTTTCTGAGATAAATTGATAAGCATTCAGAAGTGCCTGGTGATATGAGTTGACTTCTATAAAAAATGTGATGCTTGAGGTAATCATGTTTTCTGTTTTGTCCCATGAAAGTAACAGAATTTCTAGAAAATTAATTTGTTATTATGTCTCAACCTTAATCAGTTGTTGAAGAAAAAAATAGCTATTTTAGATTAATTTGATAGATTCAAAAATCCTAGGGTGCTAAAATGACTCAAATTATGGTATTCAAATAGGAATATTTTTAACTGCATGTCAATTGCACACTTGCATGTTAATTCTTTAGTATTAATGAAGCTAATATTTACTGAAAGACTAATATATGCGGATATTTTAAATACATTGTCCCAGTTAATCCCCAAAATAAACAACACTCAGAGATAGCTCAGAAATTGGGCTTGAAGTATTTAAATGCTTGGTTATGTGGTCACTTGAGTAGTGAGCACAGATCCATTAGAGAAGCAGGTAGTATTATTTACATTTGGTAAATGAGGGAATTAAGGTTGAGAGAGTGTAAATACCTGGCTCAAAGTCACATTACTGGAATACACAAGTGCCGGAATCAAGATTCAAATAAAATTTGCTTTAAGCCTCAATACCCACACTGTATCTGCATTCTTAGAAAACAGTATGGTGCTTCACATCCTTTAAAGACACTGGAGAATTTGACATCTTAATGATTAATTTCTTCTTTATAAAGTGCACATGTAAAAATATAGATAGCTGTTAAATATTAATATTTCTTGTACTGCTTAATGTTTGTTCCCTCTGTAGTCATACTTTTCATATAGAACTGTTGACAATGTAATTTTTATAGTATGTAACTTTTCATATGTTCTATATATTCTTGTACTGCCATTATTTGATTTAGTCATTTTGGATTAAAGAAAAGTAATTCTTTTCTAGAATTAAAACGTGTCTTTTCATTCCTACCTCCCTTCTTCCTTCGTTTTTTCCATCTCTTTCCATCGTTCATTTCTTCTTTCCTTCCTTTTTAAAGCAATTTCACTTACTTTTCTTTTTAAAGCAATTTCATTTACCTTTCTTTTTAAAACAATTTACACCTTTTAGGGTTGGGTAAGGGAAGATTTGAAATGGAAGTTGGTATGGATTTTCATTCTGTAGGGTTATTTACCTTACAACGAAAAAAAATGGGCAAAATGCTTTGCTTCAGTGGCTTGAAAAAAATTTATATTGGAATTTGTTCTTCAGTTTTATCTGTTTTTATGAAGTAAGGATTATTGTTCTCTTTTTGCAAATAAAGTCACCTGAAACTTTGAAAGATTAAATAGTGTACCCAAAATCATTCAATAAGTGAGCATTCTGAAAGTGAGTGGTTTTCAACCCAGATCTTCCCTGTGTCAATACTCATGATTACTCACATTGTTTTTTCTTTATTCTAAAAGACAGATTTCAGATATGAAAGTGTATTTGAAATTACTTATTTTGACTATTTTAATTCATGTTTTAGGAAACTATATCCCAGAAGAGTTAGGCCACTTCCTTAAGATCATGCAACCTACTTCTACAGTACCATCAATATGAAGGTGATTGCTTTTTCTCCACATTTTAGAACTAACTAATTTTGCCCAATTCTTTGGCTTACTAGGTTTGAATGAAAAAATATAGACTCCTGAAGTGAGGAGATAAATTAGAAAGGGTTGTGCAGTCCAGACAAATTATTATTTTGTGCCAGCAAAACTACACCCCTGCTTCAGCATCAGATATGAGAGTGAAAGTATTAGAGGTAGATTTCTTATTTATTTATTTATTTATTTATTTATTTTGAGACAGAATCTTTCTCATCACCCAGGTTGGAGTGCAGTGGCACAATCTCGACTCACTGCAACCTCTGCCTCCTGGGTTCAAGCGATTCTCTTGCCTCAGCCTCCTGAGTAGCTGGGATTACAGGCGTGCTCCACTATGCCTGGCTAATTTTTGTATTTTTATTAAAGACAGGGTTTCACCATGTTGGCTAGGCTGGTCGCAAACTCCTGACCTGAGGTAATCCACCTGCTTCGGCCTCCCAAAGTGCTGGGATCACAGGCATGAGCTACCACGCCCAGCCTGGAGGTAGATTTTAACTCCCTCTGTCAGCTTCTGCTCAATACCCTTGTGCTGTGTACCAATTCATGACCTTTTGCAGTAGTCTTCAAAGAGAGACACTTCAAAGACAGTTCTTTGGTCTCTTCTTAAGTGGTGTCTTCTTTCATATATGTGACCTAATGTTGCTTTGTTACCCCAGTCTTCATTTTGGGGGGATTGTTGTTGTATTACCACAACTAAGGTTCCAACGGTTTCTTTAACTATTGCTCCTAGCCACAGCCTGTTCTTATGTCAATTTCAACAGGGCTTTCATCCTGAGGGCTATGAGCAAGCATCCTGTTAGATTGTCAAATGAACTCCAGACTTCATTGTAAAAAGTCCTTTCTTGGCAGGCCCTTCAAGCCTATAGTTAATTACCTTTTAAATCACATGATTTTAACATTGTAGGCCAACACTAAACATCTCATTTTATGAATTACAAACAATAAAACCTTTTTACGTTCCACATTGAAAATCAGCAACTCACATGCCTCTAAACTAGTAGTTCTCTAAGTGTGTTTTCTGAGACAGAAGAGCTAGGGTTACCTGGGCACTTGTCAGAAGTGAAAATTCTTGGGCCCACCTGGGAGTCACTACTGAGTGGTACTAAAATTTGAGAGCAACGGATCTAAACCATGATGTCTCACCTGTTTTCTTCCTCGAATATTCTGTACTACAATCACACAAGATGACACACTCATTTCCAAATATGCCACACACTTTCACACCTTTGTGCCTTTTCTCAAATTGTTTCTTCTGCCTCAATAGTCCTTTCCCCATTTTCAGATATTCACTGGTTCTTCTTCAAGTTACATCTAATGCCAGCTCCTCCCAGCTTTATCCAACTTGTATCATGTGCTCTTCTTTCTGTGCATTCAATGATTTTTGTACATTGAGCATACTTAGATGACTTGTACTTATGCCATGGTTTGTGTTAAGCTCTTTGTGTTCACGGCTATCTTCTAACATAGTAGATTGCAAGCTTTATTGAGTGCAAGCTCTATCTCTTTTTTTACTGTATATCTTTAGTCTTAGTTTCCTTGTTTATTAAATGGAGATAATATTTAGCTTACTGGATCCTTTGAAAATGGAAATGTATAATTAATGCAGAATAGATACTAGTAGTAGCTAATATTATTAGCAGGTACTATGTAAGTGTTTGTTGAAGTAAATGGACTTTTAGGACTCTAGTTTGCACATAAAGTATCCTCACAAAAAGAGGAAGAAAAGAAAAAAATAAAGTGAAAGGAGTCTGTGCAAAAACTTTTTAAATAATAGAAGAAATTAGCCTTTTGTTACTATATTTACAATGTAATCTCAATATTAATTCTGTTTTAAATAGGATCTCTGCAACATGGTGCATTATATTTTTTACATATAAAGCATTATATTCTTTAAAGGTGTTAAGTAGAGTTGGGCATACCTGCACACAAGTCTTCACTCCTCAAAGATGGATGAAAGACAAAGTGTTTCTTTGCTAGATGTCAGTTTGTCTTAAATATATTTAGGCACGGTTAATTGCAGAAGCTGTTAGATTTCTTATTGTAGAAGATGGTGGAGCCAAAGGATCAGATCAACTAATGAGCTCAACCACAAAAGTTGATCAGGGGTTGAATTGAATTCAAATAGATAACAACATGTTACACAGCTTTGAGCTCACTTGAAGAATAGATGGTTGTGTGTATATACAGTTTTAATGTAAATAAAATATCTGAAGAAATAACTTATTCTTTGTTTCTAGTCCCTCTCTACAAATGGATCATGAAATTCTACTGTTTAGAAGCCAGGTTAAAAGTATATTTCTCAATGTAACAGATAGGGCTTATAGTCTCTAAAGCAATAAAAGTAGCAATTCATTATATATTTATGAAATGCTTATGGAAAGTTATCAAATTATTTTAAATGAATACATGTTAAAGGAGGGTGATAATGATGGCAACAATGATATTAATGTTAATAGTTCCATATACTAGGCCTTTTCTATTTTTCCAGTCTCTTTGCCAAGAACATCGCAAATAATAAGACTAATCTTTGCTTAATTATGCGTACAATGGTGAAAGGACAGTGTTATTTTTTCTTATTGTTTACACATAAGGAAATGAGGCTAAGAAACTGTGACTAACCCCAAATCACACATCCAGTAAGTGACAAGGATAGGTCAGAATTCAAACTCAAGTACAACAGACTTTGAAGTCTATCAAATTTCAAAACTTCTTTGAAATTAGGCACAATAAATAACAATTTGATGATAAATTACTTACTTGAAAGCAGACTTAGGGGTACAATTCAACATTTTTCTTCTTTATATAAATTTGGAGCTTTAATGAACAGTGAAATCCAGGTTCCTGTAGAAGTTTAGTGTGTAGCAAAACCTTCCTACATTTGAATCATGTCTTCACAATTTACTTGCTTTTGGTCTTTGAAAAGTTAATTAAATTATTGGTGTCAGTTTCTCATTTGTGAAATCGAGGTGATAGTAGTATTTATCTCATATAGATTGCAGTAAAGTCTCTCTCTCTCCCTCCCCCATATATACAATAAAATTTGTTATTGTATTATTAATTGTGTTGTGGCTAATTATAAAAGCAGACACTAAGAGTGAAAAGTCTGTTGGAATAAATGTGCTGACTGAAAAAGGATCATTAATTTATTTTTAGTTGTAATTCTCCAATAGCAAAGTAGATAGGTATATTTGAAACTAAAAATGGATTAACACTAAAATCAGTTAACATCAGTTTCCAAAAAATCCCTTACCTTCAAAAATATTACAGTACATTACTTTCATTATCAGAGCCCTAATGTGCTGTCTAATTTTGAGTATCTTGATCACTGAGCTGTGAAATACACAAAAAATTTTGCACCATTCCAATATAATTAGATAGCTGATTACACTAACAGACAATCACAGCTGCTGGAGCCCAGTAGTACTTAAACATTGACGTCCTCAATTTCTTAATAGATAAAAAGAGTGCCTATATGTGGTGTTCATAAATTAGTTCCTTGCCACTTGTATTGCTAAATTTGATTTTATATTTCAAGACTGAATGTACTTTCGCAGCAAAAGAAATAGCATGTATTCTTTTAATTAACCATTGGAAAACAAAGTCGGATATTATAACATTTGCTTTCTTTGTATATCATAATTGCTCATGATACTTAGATATTTTGGAGAGTGTTGTTACTTAAGCATGAAAGCAGGTTTATCTATCTCTGCAGCTGAAATATCAATTAGAGGCAAAGTCAATGAGTGTGAAATTCCCCTACTCTTTCTTGTGTAGTCCTTGAACTCCTTGGAGCACTTTGTATTGTAACAACAGATATGTGCTGTCCATTATGCACTGCTGTCTCATTTTATCTAATTGGTCCTGATATTGTAGCCATCAGATATGCTTCCTTTTATTGCCATCTGATCCCATTTACAATGAGGACCATCCATCATTTCTACATGAGAACATAAAACGTGTATCGTTTTAAGACTGGTTCTTTGGACAAGGTGGTTATTTCTCCGGTATAATGTCTTCCTGCTCTTCAGTCCTGTGGGTAAACATAAATCTATTTTCTTTGTTTGAGGAGTTTTCTTTAAGACATACACTATTGGCTCAGAATAGTTTCTACGTGTAGTAGATTATTCGGGAGTTAAAGATTTGCATATTTTGGTGAATGGATAATAAGCATTTATTATAAAGGCAAAAATTCAGACAAATATGCATAGAAGCACACATGAGCACAAACACACACACATACACAGAATATTATTGATGCCGGTTTGGGTACATGAGACCATAGGCAATCTGGAATGATGGTTTTAGTTTAGTCATCTGATCTTATGACAGGTGCACACTTTCCTTCTTTATCTCTGTTATCTCTAAACCCTTCAAGGAAATTTCCCACTCACTATTCTTGAGTGTAGACATGGAAAATTCCAGAGATTCAAAAAGGAGCAAGCTACTGGGGGATAAGATTTTATCCAAATGAGGCAAACTCCAGAAAATCTTCAACTTTATATTTATAAGAAAAATCTGTTTATAAGGCTCTTTAGTTTATAATGTGGCTTTTAAAAAACAGTGTCTTACAGCTTTTGGTAATCACCATAAAGTTGTAAGTCAAGGAAAGTTGGACAGTTTCCATGAAGAAATTTGAACCCAAAATGGTTAAATACATGGCAACAGGTTACACAGCATTACATGGCTGAATCAATAGGCATCCAGGTCTCTGACTCTTAAATCAGTCATCTTCAAATTATACTACCAACAAATATCAACAGTTAAAATAAAGGAAGAATATTCTCTCTCTCTCAGTACCTGTAATATTGAAATAGGCATCCATGATCCTTCACTAAGGCCTTACTTCCTCATTGGTTTGGTTTCCCCCCAAAACAGCTGGGATGGACTCAGTTTATTCATTTGTTCTCTAATTTACTCAACGAATATGTGAATGGATTACTATAGAAATTGTAATTTCTTTCTTTTCTTTTTTTTTTCTGAGACGGAGTCTCGCTCTGTCCCCAGGCTGGAGGGCAGTGGCGCGATCTCGGCTCACTGCAAGCTCCTCCTCTGGGGTTCGCACCCATTCTCCTGCCTCAGCCTCCCGAGTCGCTGGGACTGCAGGCGCCAGCCACCACGCCCGGCTAATTTTTTGTATTTTTAGTAGAGACGGGGTTTCACCGTGTTAGCCAGGATGGTCTCCATCTCCTGACCTCGTGATCCGCCCGCCTCAGCCTTCGAAAGTGCTGGGATTACAGGCGTAAGCCACTGCGCCTAGTCAGAAATTGTAATTTCTATACACATTCAGGAATATCTTTTCATCTAAATTTTTGGATTTATTGACTTATAAATCAATAAGCTACATGTTGATAAAATTAGTCAATTTATTTGCCCATCTATACAGTATAAACCAAAAATATGGGAACTAAAAGTATGATAATAGAATTGGGTTTAATACTGACTCCCCTAAATCAGTTGTTACATGTCTACAATAAATTTTGAGTTCTATAGTTATTTCTTTTGCTTTGGATATAATGATTACGCTGATGAATGTTCAACTTTGAAAATGGAAGCAACTTATGATAATAATGAAAATGTCAAAAATGTGAACATGGCAGTGCTTTGTCTCTTTTTTTTTATGGAGAACTATGTTGCAGTGATGCTGCTTTCCACAGGAAACAGTCTGTTCTATGGCCATGATGCGGCTCCTGAGATACAACCAGCTAAGAGCATCCAAATGGTATAATAGAAATACAATTATGGCTCTTAGAGAGTTTCTTCCGTCACTATATCTGAATCATACCAATTGAAGAAGCAAAATGAGCACTTTTTCGGGTAATTTAAATACATGTGTTTTTTTCTCATTTGCAGACAATAATGGGTTCAGATTTGTTTTCTAGTTCAGTCTTTCTTTAGAATTTTTAGTGGTACATTGACATATTAATAAAAGTATGAAAAATAAAAGAAACTTCTCTTTGTCTGAAAAACTAGAATAACATAAACAACTTGACTTGTAACCAGGCACACCTATGTAAGCATTTTGGGAAACAGGAGGACAAAATAAGACAAATCAAAGTAATTACTGTAAGGGAAACAGATCTGGTGCTTAAAAATGAACAAGTTCTGTCTTTTTTTTAGGTTTTTATATTTCACCATTAATAATGTGGAAAAGTTTTTAAATAATTTCATATTTAAAACATTAAAATAAATTATATTTTTGATATAAAATACTTTGAAAAATTGACATTTCCAGCCATGTACCTTTTTAAACACAATTTTTACTTTTTTGAGAGAGGGTCTCACTCTGTCACCCAGGCTGGAGTGCAGTTGGCTCACTGCAACCTCTACCTCCCAGGCTCAGGTCATTCTCCTTCCTCAGCCTCCTGAGAAGCTGGGACTACAGGCGTGTGCCACTACTCCTGCCTAATTTTTGTATTTTTTTGTAGACACACGGTTTTGCCATGTTGCCCAGCCTGGTCTGGAACTCCTGGGCTCAAGCAATCCTCCCGCTTCAGCCTCCCAAGTAGTCGGAACTGCAGACGTGCATCACTATGCCCACCTTAGCCATGCACTTTTGATTCTAGACTTAGTTGAAGAACTTAACATGCTGAGGTAAGGACTCTAAATAGTCTGATATATATTAGAAAAATATACACACACACAGACACACAGTGAGAAACGAATGTGGTACACACACTACAATGCCAACAAAAAGTAGCTTTGCCAAAGACCGTAATAAAGGCAACAAGTTAGGATCTGTCATGTTTGGCCCCGCTATTAGTTGAATGAACTGGGACAAACTCTTTTAACATCTCCAGACCTAATTAAATAGGAATGATAACCATAATACCTATATCTTAGGATTGTTGTGAGGTTTATGCACAATTTTCAAAATTGCTAAGTGGTACTTAATGTAATAGGAATAATTGTTTTAAGAAAAACTGCTGGCCGGGCGCGG
The DNA here is from genome assembly GCF_000001405.40 of Homo sapiens. NCBI lineage: Eukaryota > Metazoa > Chordata > Mammalia > Primates > Hominidae > Homo > Homo sapiens. The sequence goes on along the minus strand of NC_000003.12, from coordinate 86,897,263 downwards.
TGGCTCACACCTGTAATCCCAGCACTTTGGGAGGCCGAGGTGGGAGGATCACCTGAGGTCGGGAGTTGGAGACCAGCCTGACCAACATGGAGAAACCCTGTCTCTACTAAAAATACAAAATTAGCTGGGCATGGTGGCGCATGCCTATAATCCCAGCTACTCAGAAAGGCTGAGGCAGGAGAATCACTTGAACCTGGGAAGTGGAGGTTGTGGTGAGCCAAGATTGCAACATTGCACTCCAGCCTGGGCAACAAGAGCAAAACTCCGTCTCAAAAAAAAAAAAAAAAAAAAAAAAAAAAGGAAGAAGAAGAAAAACTGCTTATAATCATAGGCATACAATATAAAAACTATTAATGATACTTTATCAAAAGGAAAATTCAACACGAAAATTAACATTTTTACAAAGAGAAAAACTGAAAATGCAAACTTAAGTCTTTTGCAATTTAACCAAAGACTTCTAAGGTGTACTTACATTAAAAAAAATAACATAAAATAAAAATTACTAGAGCTTTTGGCACAATGGGAAACTGACATACCTACCAAAAAATCCTTGGATATTTGTGAAAGGAAAATATTTGCTGCCATATTCGATGAGTATATTCGTCACTCTAACAGTTTTAAAAATAACTTCTAAATGCTAAACTGGAACAGTTAAGTACATTCAGCCATTCAGTCATTTTTCATTCAGCAAATATTTTTTAACTGCCTACTATGTGTCAGAAATTGTGCTAGACTCAAGATGAAAAACATATGGTCTTAGCCTCAGGGAACGTTGTCACAAGGCACAGCCAACATAATGACTCAAAAATTCTTGCTCTTTTACTTCCATACCTAGCACCAAATCTATCCATATAGATTATAACGTTTATATTTATTGATTCACTGGCCAAACGCTAAAGCTAAACAATATCTGGAAAAAATGCTTCACTTCTGAGGAGATCATAAGGAAAACATATTATGAGATCTAGTAGTAATGTTTTTCAAATAAAATTTTTTGAATTTATACTTTAATGAGAGTAAGCCTTGAATAGTCAGAGCAGAAAAAAATCATACAGCATAATAGTGATTTAAATAAAATATGTGAGTTATTTCCCACACACTATAAGTTAGCAAACATATTTGGTTGATGTGTTAAATTTTTAATTCCACAAGAAAGGCTCTGTCTTACCAAGTCACAACAAATAGCTATCCTGAAATATTTTATCTTAATATTTCTATTTTATTTTCTTTGAGAAGTATTTCCATGGTCTATAGAGACTTGTTATTTTAAAACTTTTCTCAAAACTGAATAATTTTTTAAATCATTATAAAAATTCAAGAATGTGAATTTTGTTGAACCTGATAAACAGCTCTTCTGAAATTATAGTGTCAATTATATCTAAGAATATATATTTGATACATCCACGAAGTAAAAATTTACTTAAAGACTATGACTAGTTGTATGTATAAGAGAAACAATTACTGTTTTAACATTATACTTTCACTTTTCTTAGGCAGTGTATCAAAATACATGAATGCTTCTGCCTTTTAAATATGTCCCTCTCTCTCACTTTCTGAGATATCTACTTGAGGTCACCAAAAGTAGAACATTACTTTAGAAAAAAAATAAATCCCAAAATGTAATTTGTCTCATTATGTCTTTCTAGACACTCCTAAGAATAAGGTAAAATTAGAAGAAAAATTATGTTTTAAAATGTAATAATAGTGACAATATTACCCCCAAACATTTGTATATATATGTATATATATTTGTATCTCCAAGTGGTAATCATAAGTTGTATATAAAAAGTGATCAAGGGATGTGTCAATTGCTAAAAAATGTTAGAATCAGATATTTCTACATGGTCTGAGGTGGTGAGTTCATAGGCCTGAACACTTGAAAACTCCAAATGACTCACACCAAGCAATTTTGAATATATAGGTTCTGCCATGACTTATCTTAAGGCCACTGAGTCTTTACAAATAATTTCCTAAATTTATATAGAGAGCAAAAACAATATAGCGGTTAAAAAACAGGCAAAACAAACAGGCTGACTTCAAATCCTGATTCTGCCATATAAAAGCTTTGTGATCTTCTCTGGGACAGAATGTCCATGTAGAAATGGGTATGATTCTCTCTCCTTCAAAACCAGTATCTTTTTTTGTAGAAATGTAATGAGGATTAAATAACCCAATATACAAAGAAGCGCTAGAGAAACACTTGGATTTGAATTAGTGCTCAGGAAGCATTAGTTCTTATTTTTTAAAGCTCATGAGTCCACAGCTATGAAAAGGACACCTGGTTTCTAGAAAATAAAATTAATAAATTTAAGTGAATATTCAGTGCTGTAAGTGTTGCCTGTGAATTGCTCAGTGGTATGAGTGCTTCCTACAAACATTATTTGTTATTAAGTAGTTTATAGTTAGGCTTCTATAATGCTAAAGGCAAAGAAAATAAAGCATTCGAAAGAAGAAAAAAAATTAAACTTTCAGATATCCCCAAATATCTAGACCCAGATATTCCCACAACAGCAATATCAAACCATTTCTGGGTGATTATATGGATAGACATTTAAATGTTGGCATATAATTTTTATTACACTTTCAAAAAAGGAACTAAAGTAGCTATTAATTAAGTGCACAACTAATTTGAGACTGTGAATGCCAAAAGGAAAATTGCCCAGCAGAACCACCCATTTCAAAGAGAAGAGACTGTAATTCTGTCCTCATAACTTTCTGGCCAAGGTCAAACTTTAGAGACATATTTAAAGAGTGAATGAGACTATTTCATAAGATCAGCACAAGGTGAGTGGAAAGTAGTTTTCTTCTTAATTTATTTCCACTTGGCAATTTCTGAGTAGCTTCCATTTGTTTAATGAGCAAAACTGCAAGAAGAATTTTTGTTTTCTAACTCATGCAGATGTTAAGAATAATTAGAATTTAGGTATTGAGAAATCTTATCTAATTAATATAGGGCATAGTCGTACCTAGTGTCTGGGAGACATAGGTAAAAGAAAAGAAAAGTAAGTATCCAGTTGCACATAGCTATCCTCAAACTGGCATAAACAGAAAGAAGAATTCCTGTTAAAAGTCAAGTGAATTCTGGAATGTATAGTTCCTTGCTGTCCACACAGACCAGAAATTTGGATAATTCAAACAAACTGCTACAATGGATGCAATGCCATTCCTAGAATTTTACATGTTCTCATTTAAAGTGTCATAGTAAAATATCGGCAATTTAAATATCATAGACAGCATTTTTCATAAAAAATAAAATTATCTTAAAATAATACCTCAGAGCTACTATTAGATACCAAATTAAAAGTTCTTATAGTTTCCCAAATTAAGAATTTTCATGGCTGTAGGAATTATTCTAAATGATATTATCTGTCATTTCAAAGTTGATCTAGTAAATGAATAACCACAGTTAAGGAGAATGCTAGAATGAGTTTGTTGCTACTGTGGCTGAAACTGATTGGGTGAATATTTCACTTGTAACTTAAAGGTACCTGCCAAAGGAAACATCAGAAGCAGAGGCCATAATGATTGGATTGACAGCACAGAGCTTTCAAAATTTATTCTCAAGGAGACACAAAATTGCCTTTGAGTTAAATAGGGACAGGTGAAACAATCTCCATCATAATGTTGGCATTGCACAAATACCTGTTTTAATGGTTTTCAGTGGGAATTTAAACATACAGGAGATCATTATGTTGTAGTTAGTTGCTGTTATACCCTTTATGTAAGAATTAAAAGATGCTAAAATAAATATACTTTTTAAATAGACAACCAAAAGTTGTATGTATTTATTTTGTACAACATGATGTTTGGAATAATGGATAAATTGTGGAATGGCCAAAATCGAGCTAATTAACATATGTATTACCTCACATACTTATTGTTTTGTGGTAAGAACATTTAAAATACATTCTCTTAGCAATTTTTAAGACTATAACATATTAACTGTAAGCTATTAATTATAGCCACTATGTTGTATAAAATAAATATTGACATAAAAATAAGCCATCGAATGAAATCCTTTCTATAAGACAAATACCAACAGTGAATTAGCTTTTCCTGCATTTTGGACTTGGGTTATCACCTAGAACATGCAAATAAACAAGTTTCTCTGGCTGGATTTTAATTTATGAGTTCTACAGTACAAAATTGGAGAAATGACATATTCTATTGATAGCTATATAATTTTAGGTTTACTATGCACACAAACACACACACGTAACAGAGTCTATAGAACCATCCAAGAACCTTAGGCAAATTCGCTTTCTGGTCACTGTATTTCAATACGTTTTGTAAGTTTTTATATGAATAGTATGGCCAATTAAAGATGGTCACCATCTCTTTGCCTTTACTTCCATGAAAACAAGGAGTCCATGTCACCCTTCTTCATCTGGGTGAGCTCCGTGACTGCTTTACTCAATAACATAAGCCAAAATGATGTTGTGACAGATGTTAGGGCTGTGCCTTAAGAGACTGGGAGCGTCCATGTTTCTTCTCTAGGAGTACTCCCTCTGGCATCCCTGAACAACCACGTTAGAATTCTGATGACCGGAAGACTGCTGCACTGGAGCTGCACATATAAGCGCCCTGATTGACAACCCCTGGCCAAACTTGGTCTCTCAGTCTTCCCCACCAAGGACTCAATGTGTGAGAGAAGCCGCCTTGGACCCTTACACCAACCTATGCGCTGCTGAATATCAGAATGGCCTTAGTCAAAACCATGTGTAACAAAATAGGAAGCCAAGCTCTGGCTCAATTCTTGACCCATAAGACCATGAGATACTACAAATTAAAAACGGCTCTAAATATCGCCTACTGATTTACTTAAATCCATGTTTTCTTCACAAATGAAGCCAATAAAAGCATTTCTGTCAACCTCAGCTGTGCATAGCTGAGAGACCTGATTTGGTTTCCTGTGATAAATAGAACAGGATTGCTTCAATTATATCCTACAGTTTTCAAGTAGTGTTGTTTGTCCTCAATTTCAGAATGATAAAAATATTAAAGGATTCTCAATAAGTAAATAAATAAATAAATAAATAAATAAATAAATAAAGAGACTGGACTCTGCTCAAATGTCACCGCCTCAGAAAGGCCTTCCCTGACTAACCGACTTAAAATAGCACATCCTTCATTGATACCCTTACTCCGCTTTTTGTCTCTTCACTGTATTTATTACTATTGACATGACATTAAATGAGTAATGTCCACCTTCACTTTTGCATATCCCTTCCCTGAAAGTAGTTTCTCTATTTTGTTTACTGTATAGAATAGTGACTGGCACATAGTAGCCTTAATATATATTTGTTGAATAAGTAAAACTTGGCCTTCAGATATTTTGCCTGTAAATTACAAACTTTGCTTTTACAAATGAAAATACAGGTCATCCCAATAATTTTAAAGAGAACATTATTCTGACATTGTCTAAAAATAGAAACTTACAGTTTCCAGGAAATGATAAATATATTCATTTATCAATGTTTTTGTTTTGCGGGATGATTATAACAAATATTTACTTAATATTCATTTGAATAATGAAAAGCCACTTAAAAACTAACCTGCATTTAAATAATCATTCAACATTAAAATGTGGTTCTTTCCAGAGTTAATAATCAGCTAAACATTTTTCCTTGTCTTCCCTTGATTTATGTTTAATTTACATGACTGAATTGTATATGAAATACTAGCACCCATATTTTGTGTGATAATCTGTATAAGTCATGATCATGAGGGTGTTAAGACATTTATTTTAGCACATGTGAGTTTATAACACCATTGAAAGGTTATGTTGATACAACTAATTGTACTATTTGACAAAGAGTGGAAAAAAATCCAGAAGACCTTTAAGTAAAAGAGAAATTAACTTTAAAGTGGCACAATATATAGTGGTTCCTTATTTGGTTTAAATGAACACACTATTATCAATCTATTCATATAGTCTCAGTGTGGCACCATTTCCTTATTAAAGCTCTATGCAGAAGGAGTGGAGCTACTTTGTATGCTTATTCTTTGTTCTTCTACCACTTTCTCTTTCCCATGTTTACATTACAAGGGAGAAGTTAAGAAAATAAAAGAAGCCAACTGGGAAAGGCCACATAGCAGATTTGAGGCTTTGGGAGTAGGAGCAAGGAGCACAAATTCTCCAGGCATGCTGCTTGCATGCCTAACAATACATTTCACTTTAAAATTCAGTTAAATGACATGAGAAGCTGCATCATTATTTTCCTGAATTAATTTCTCTTTCCCATGCAACAGTAACTGTTCTTCTTATCAACCACTTTCATAATGGGGAGTAAACAACCATCTCAGCAACATATATTATTAAGATTCTTCTTTTTTCAGGCCAGCTGTCCCTGCAATTATATTTTACAAATACAATTCTACACAGCTCCTCTCAGTTGAACACAATAATGTAATTTTACTGAATGACTCTGCAGAAAGCCTAATTATTTCTTGAAGCAGGGCTCCTGATGTTATTTTGCATTTAATTCACGACCACATGCTGTAGGTTATTATCTGTGCAGCAACCAATTGAAATATTTTCTGAAAAGTATTTCACATACTTTTTAACCTGCGACTTTTAAAAACAATTGTACTTTGCTTCTCAAACACACTAGAAGAACTCAAATCTAATAAAGAATAAATTATCAACTTCATATACATTAATTAGATCTGTTTTTTATTCAAAAACATGTACTAATTCTATTATTGTTGAATAATAATGCATCTGTGTCATCCAGACAATTGTTTACATAATTTATAGCAATAAAAAATAAAAACTTGTAAATTAATAACATGTTATAGATATCTGTGTCAGTGACTGGGAAGGGTGTTATTCATTCATGGAATCTTTTCAAAAAACATTAATTAAATATTCTTTCTTCCTTCTGAGTCTTTGAGCCTGTATAGATTTCCTTGTGAAATCCATCATATGCCAGCTTAAACTGCTTTTTAACAGACATACATACATTTATGCATATTATTATCTGTCATTTAAAATTATATTGATACGAAAAAGATACCACAAAAAAGATAGTAGTCAACATATGGTCAGTGCTTAATATGTACCAGGAATATACTACCCTTTAGGTACATGATCACTCTAAATCTTCACAACAGTCCTAAGTAAAATCTCATTTTACAGATAAGAATTTCAAAACTTAGACTGAGTAGCTTACAAAAGGATGAACAGGTAGTAAATGGAGAACACAGAATTTTATTCGAGATCTAATATCACAGGTCTAGTTCATAACACTGTACATACTGACATATATTTGCTGAGACACTGCGTGTGTGTGTATGTGTGTGCATGTGTTTATTCTCCTTCAAGATGTGTAGATACTTTTGAAAGGAATGTAAGGATAACATTAAAATATTCCATATGGATTTTATAAAATGTATATTTTCTATATGACTTATTTACTTAGGGAAATTAACTGTAGTGCATTATTTTCCTATAGATGGCAATACAGACAATTCACTCTGATATAGTACTTAGTTACTTTTTGAGGAAAAAATTTTCTGCTCAAGATTGAAGATGAAAATTATATTTAGAGTCAGAATAAAAGAGAAGTAAAATTATGAATAAAAGTGTAATAGTAAACTTGAAATATGAACATATTTCATAGAAAAAAAATCAAAGTATCCTATACTTTTCAAATAGTTCTGGAACCCCAGCAAACCATCTCTAAAATCTAGGCTCATTCTCTTGTTACAGAGGTACATTTGTTGGAATGGCATTATAATACACCTACAAACCTCACAAATTCTACTACAGAGGCTTGTCTGTAAGAATAATTAGCTATTAGTCAACCTTGTGTGCAAAAATATATTATTTATTTATATTACACACTGAATTTGTCCATGTGATGATTTGAAGTGTAATTCCAAATCAAGAAGATGGAAAAATACCCATGTTAATGAAGTTCACAGAGAAAATACTCTGTTACATAGAAATAAGTTATAAGTCATTTTCTTAGTATGCAAATGATGAAAGTCAAATATTGTTGTAAGTTTGTTACATTGCATATGGAGATCTCATGAACACTTTTTAACTTACCCATAAGAACCTTAGGAAATATTATTGCTGTGCTGAAATATTAACTGCATTAAATCATATATGTCAATGAAACATATGATAGCAGTGTAAAATAAATCATGAGATCAATTCTGCAAAAAAAGAAAAGTCAAAAGCGAGGATATGTGATTTCAGTAAGTACCCTCAGACTGCAATGCTGTTAACATGATTAATATAGTTATTTACATGCTTCATCCAGGTGGATAAAATGATTACAATTGATGAGGTCATAAAACATGAATATATAAGATGCATTTTCTTATGGGAAGACTTACATTGTTAAAGATGCGAGTGTAGGAAGAGACATCCTGTGAATAATATGGAAACTTCTTTTTAGGTTTTATAAATTTTAATATTTTTTTAAGTATTAGGAAGAGATAAATTGGATTCAGCAACATAACTTTTAATACCTAGTAACTTAATATATAATTTAGAATTAGATCACAGAGTGATTCTAAATGTAAGAGGCTAATACTTTGTCAACATTATACTTACAGGAAAATCTTAGAATGGTCTTTTGGGTTGAAATCGTAGAATGGCCTTATGGGTTGTTTGTATGGCTTTACAGTGAATCAATTATTCAGATTACATTTTGGCAAATACAATTAATTGTATAGTGACAGGACATTACTTTAACTGAAAATATTACATTTCTACCAATGAGATGCTGTTGTCAAAGATACTGTACCTGGCCAAACTTCAGTCAAGTTCCCCTAAGCCCTCCACTCAAGTAGCTCAAACTTGGGCTTTGGTCTTAGTTCTTGTAGAGTCTAATCAACCTTAATATCTGGACAATTTCCTCCTTTCTACCATCCCCTTCATGATGTCTGATTACCTTTAGCAAGAATCTTGGCAGGTAAGTTTAGCAGAGAATTACCTTACTCTCTTAGTAATTTTCCATCCACCAATCTTTTCACCCTACTTCTTAGCTGTAAATCCCTATGTGGTATTCAGAATTGAGCCTAATTTGTTTCCCCTACTGTAAAACCCCACTGTAGTAATCCCTTGTATTCCCCTAGATTCTTCCTTACCATCTTTAACAAGTGTCATAAACATTTTTTTCCTTAATGCTATATACATCAGTTCTCAGTCATAAATCTGGCATGATATTTTTGTTACACATTAAAAACTGTAGCCAATCAAGTAACTGGCATAATATCATAAAAGAAAATGCTTGAGTGATGAATCACTAGGTTAAATTAAAGGCATGTATTGAACCTAACAACCTAAAACTTAGAATAAGAACTATTTAAGAGTTCATTAAAAATTCATCAAAAAAAGTGAATTTAGATTATGTCACAAAGAAAACCTCAATGTATTTCTCAAAGAAGAAATTTTAAAGTTCTCATTTTTTAAATCAACAAAATAGAAGTTAATAGCAAAAGTGAACAACTAGGACACACCTTAGGTGTGATTTAAGGTGTGTCCAAAAATATATCCAGAGGCACAAGCATAGTTTTAAACATTTTAATAATTAAAAATTATTTAAAACTTAAATTTAAAAATTATAGATTAACATTTGGGTATATGCTCAGTAATGGGATTGCTGGGTCAAATTGTATTTCTAGTTCTAGATCCCTGAGGAATCACCACACTGTCTTCCACAATAGTTGAAATAATTTACACTCCCACCAACAGTGTAAAAGCATTCCTATTTCTCCACATCCTCTCCAGCATCTGTTGTTTCCTAACTTTTTAATGATCGCCATTCTGATTGGCATGAGATGGTATCTCATCGTGGTTTTGATTTGCATTTCTCTAAAGAACAGTGATGATGAGATTTTTTCATGTTTGTGGGCTGCATAAATGTCTTCTTTTGAGAAGTGTCTGTTCATATCCTTCGCCCACCTTTTGTTGGGGGGCTTTGGTTTCATTGTCTATAAAATGTCCCGACTATGTTTCACATATACCCTCATGAAAGTACCTATTGATTTCAAAAAATAAATAAATAAATACAAAAATTGAGACTGATAAATGCCAAAAAAATTATAGATTAACAAAGTAGAATGAAACTAAATTAAATAAAACTTTTCATCAATTGGCCAAAGAACAATGTAAACTTAAAAGAAATAGAAAAGTAATTTCAAAAAACTTTAAGCAAAACTTAATTATTAAAAAAGTTTAATTCATAAGTTTCAACAAAATTTGGGTGAAAAATAATGAAATATATAAAAATTCTCCCAATCTAATCTAAGTTTATATCCATCATAGAAATATTGATTTCTTTCTTTCTTTCTTTATTATTCTTTAATTTCTGGGATACATGTGCAGATTTGTTGCATAGGTATACATGTGTCATGGTGGTTTGCTGCACCCATTAACCCGTCATCTAGGTTTTAAGCCCACCATGCATTAGGTATTTGTCCTAATGCTCTACCTCCCCTTGCCCCCCACCCTCCGACAGGCCCCAGTGTGTGATGTTCCCCTCCCTGTGTCCATGTGTTATTGTTCATCTCCCACCTATGAGGGAGAATATGTGGGTTTGGTTTTCTGTTTCTGTGTTATTTTGCTGAGAATGATGGTTTCCAGCTTCATCCATGTCCCTGCAAAGGACATAAATTCATTCTTTTCTATGGCTGTATAGTATTCCATGGAGTATATGTGCCACAAGAAATATTGATTTCTAAGATATATTTTGATCTTTCAAATATCTCCGGCTTTACTCACAATCAGCAACCAGCACCAACAGCCATGTGAGTGACACCATTATGGAAGTAATTTTTTTAGCCAGGTTACTTTAGCTAATGCACGTTCATGTACAAAATAAACTATATCCAACAGGTCCTTCCTAAACTGTAGCAGTGTAAACAAATTAACGTCTGTTGTTTCTTAAACGAACTGAATGTTGAGAATGAACTGCTATATAGCAATAGATCATAATTAAGAGAGTTATTCTTTTGGAAGCTCTTTGTAATTTATTATTTTTTTGATTTTTTTTCAATTGATTTTCAATTTTGGCTCTTAATTCAATAATTATTGAAATATTATATATAATGAGTGAAAACAAATATTCCAACAATTGGAAAATACTTCAATATATTTTGTTCATATTTATTTATTAACTTTAAAATAATAAGTTTAAAGATATTCAACAATACAGGAAAGAGGCTTATGACTTCGTGTTAAAAATCTTCATTTTACTTTCTTGCACACTTGATAAACTAGCCAATACTATCTAAATTCAAAATTTATCCTACATTTATTTTGCACTTAATCAGCTAAACCTTAGTGGAGAAAACAAGCCCCTTGATTGTTCTCACTTTAAATTCATGATTATTAGCCTTGATCTTTCTGAACCTATCCTATCCTATCTCTAGTGGATTCACATCTAAGGGATTATTTCAGGCTGTCACTAATCATGACCAGCTACCTATCCTTGCCTGCCCTCACATGCTCTGCACCCTTGCATATCATTACAGTTCAACTCCTCATGTACTGATGACAGGATGCCCCATTCTCCTTTCTTCTCATCGGCATCACAGTTCTCTCCCTTTTCTTACATCATCAAGTTTTTATTCCCCTTTGGATCATTTCAATTAGCATTTAGGCCAGATATTATTTTTCTCATTTTAAAAGAAAAAAATCATTATTTTGGCTCAATTTCTTACCTCCTTCTGACACACCATTTGCTTTTATTTCTTTAGTTTCCTCATTCAAAACTCCAGGAAAGACTTGCTTGTACACTCTCCAGTTCTTATCCCCTTTTTTCTTAATTCCACTCCAGTTGGTTTTTCTTTTCCAATACTCCATAGAAGCTGCTTTTATCAAGATTACAATGTCCTCCCCATTGTATTTATTTATTTATATTTATTAGTTTTTTTTTATTTCCATAGATTATTGGAGAACAGGTTGTGTTTTGCTATATGAGTAAGTTCTTTAGTGGTGATTTTGAGATTTTGGTGCATCATGCATTCAGTGAACAGAGAACACTTCTACACTGCTGGTGGGAATGTAAACTAGTACAATCACTATGGAAAACAGTTTGGAGATTCCTTAAATAACTAAAAGTGGAACTACCACTTGATCCAGCAATCCCCCTACTGGGTATCTACCCAGAGGAAAAGAAGTCATTATACGAAAAAGATACTTGCACACGCATGTGTATAGCAGCACAATTCACAATTGCAAAAATGTGGAACCAAACCAAATGCCCATCCATCTACAAGTGGATAGAGAAACTGTCCTCCTCATTTTAAATCCAACAGTCTGTTCCCACTCGTCGCCTCACTTGGTCTATCAGCACTATTTAACGAAGCTGAAACTATCTCTTCTAGTCGTACAATTTAGAAAAAAATTTTTTACTTGGTTTTCCAAACTCACTCTCTTTTTCTCCTCTCTCACTAGTTGCTTCTTCTCTGTCAGATTTGCTGGCCCTTCCTTTTCTTTTCATGCTTTTATTATTGAAGTGCTTCAGGGCTCATCCCTGGTGTCTTCTGTTTTCCAGCCACACTGATGTCTTTCTGCTTTATGTGGCCGCATGGTCTTAAATACCTTTGACTCCCAAATGTAGTAAAGCTGGACAAGACTTCTGTTCTGAACTGCACAACTCAATATCTGGCTCCCTGCTTAACATATTTCCATTTGAGGGTTTCATACACATCTCAAACTTAGCATGTCCAAATCTGGATTCCTGATCTCTCCATCAATAGACATTTTTTTAAAATCTCTGAATACAGAGTTTATGGTTTCTGCCTTCCGTTGCTCTGAAACAGAATTGTTATCCATGCACATTGACTATAGTAACTAAACAAAAGAATAAATGAATACATGCAGCAAACTTTGAGAGCACATACTCATGTATACAAATATGAAACTGAAATGCAATATATCAATATCTGATACTAATCTTCAGCGGTGGAGGGAGAATATGTGGGAATTTTCCATGATGGTTATGTATTAGTGTTATAGCTAGAGAAAATAATTAAGTGCTAAGTACAATTTTTTAGATTTTAAGACACACAAAGAATAAGATTGTATAAATAAGAGAAAATACTGCCACTCACAGAATTAAATAATTACAATTTATGATTATATTTATTGGGTCATCAGGTAACATTTCCTTCTGCTTCATCAAAAAAGTCATTTCAAGGAAAAGTCATAATATTAAATGAATTTGAGATGGCTTTTTCTCATATTTATGACAAATACAGGAAATGATTTTATCTTGTTGATTTCTACATTTATAATCTAGGAAAGTAACTGGCATGTGGTAATAACTATTTTTCATAACTTCAAATGCTATTTCTATCTTATTAGATATAATTATTTAGAAGTAATTGATGCTAAACATTCTAAATTCTTATATACCCTGGGGGCCTCTCCTATCAATACTTAATAACACATTTCAAATTATCAAATTGTGTTTCTGTTAAAACAATATAATCTAGATATTTGACCTATTGAAATCTTTACGCAAAATGATGTGGGCAAAATGAAATACTTTTCAAGTTGAAAATATGAGCATTTTAGCCACGGACCAGACAAGGGAGTTATTAGCTTTCATTTTCTTCTGAGTTACATCTACTTTGTGTCTGTGATCATGGAATTGCCCAATGGATACTTGAAACTAATGTGCTAAGGGACTCTAAAATTATAGGCTAGGCTGCATTAAAAACAACTCTTAGTGCTTTAAAAATTGCATGTCATCCACATTCCTCATGAAAATGAACATTGAAATGTTCTTATAAAAATACATCTGGTAACATGCACTCACGTATGCCTAAATTAGGTTTAAAGTCACTTGAATTTTCCCTGTTTTTAACAAAAGTTTTGGGGCTTCATGCTTTTGGTTTATTGGTGTACAATTTGCATTACATGCCTACAAAACTAAATTTTTATTTATTTGTTTATTTTTTTAATTTTAAAAGTTTCTTTTGGAGAATAGTGGTTATGAGTTTGAACTCTGATTTTGGACTGACTGTGAGACATTAGTTATTAAAACCTCCTGTGACTCAATTTCTTCTTTGTAAAATGGACATTAAAATAGCACCTAACTCATTGTTGCTATATTTTGAGGATTAAATGAAATAATGCATGTAAAGTTGTAGAACATTTTCTGATGCATGTTTCTAACAACTATGACATAGCAATGAATTTATACCTATATAAGGATTTGCTATGTCTGCATATGCATACATATTAGTTTACTTGGGCTGCCATAAAAAAGTACCAAGACTGAGTGTCTTAAACAACAAAAATTTATTTTTTCACAGTTCTACAGGCTGAGAAGTCCAAGATCAAGGTGTCAGGGGGATTGGTTGCTTCTGAGGTCTCTCTCCTTGGCTTGTAGTTGGTTGCCCTCCACTATGTGCTCACATGGTCATTCCTCTGTGCACATGCATCCCTGGTGTTTCTTGCATGTGTCCAGATTTCCTCTTTCTACAGACACAAATCATATTGGATTTGGACTCAACCTGTCTCATCTTAACTTAGTCACTTTTTGTATGGCCCTATCTTCAAATTCAGTCATATTCTGAGGGATTGGGGTTTAAGACTTCAACATATACACTTTTGGAGAATGCTTTGGGAGGCTGAGATGGGAGGATTGCTTAAGCCCAAGATTTCAGGACCAGCCTGTTTAACACAGTGAGTTCCTGTCTACTATGGTTTGGATCTGTGTCCCGATCCAAATCTTATGTAAAACTGTAATTCCCGATGTTGGAAGTGGGGCTTGGTGAGAGGTGATTGGGTCATGGGAGCAGTTTCTTATGGTTTAACACCCATCCCCTTGGTGCTGTCATCAATAGTGAGTTCTCATGAGATCTGATTGTTTAAAAGTGCGCAGTGCCTGCCCCTCTCTTTTCCTCCTGCTTTGGCCATGTGAGATGACTCATTCTCCCTTTGCTTTCTGCCATGATTGGAAGCTGCTTGAGGCCTCCCCAAAAGCAGAAGCTGCTATGTTTCCTGTATAGCCTGCAGAACCATGAGCCAATTAAAACTTTTTTATCTATAAATTACACAGCCTCAGGTATTTCTTTATAGAAATACAAGATTGGACTAATACACCATCTCTACAAAAAAATAAAAAAAAACAATAGCCAAGCGTGGTGGTGCATGCCTGTAGTCCCAGCTATTCAGGAGGCTGAGGACTTAAGTCCAGGAAATTGTGGCTGCAGTGAGCTGTAATCACGCCACTGCGCTCCAGCCTGGGTAACAGAGCGAGACCCTGTGTCCAAAAACAAAACAAACAAACAAAAAGATTGTCAAACATTTCTGAAAAATGAGAATTGCTCATACAATTTTGTTGAAGCTCTAGTGTAATAAAGTGAGGGGTAGACTTGGGTTTCATTGCCCTGTCTCTACCATTGGTTTTTCCTCCCATTTGTGCACATTCTTAAAGTAGACTAACATATAAATAGAATTAATACTATGGATTTTTTTAAGTGTTTAAGTGTTGTTTTTTTAAGTGTTTGTTTAGGGTATAAAAGTAGGACTAATAAATTATTCTACTTTTTAAGTGGACTGTAAATGCAACATTGATTTTCAAAACAACACTGATTTCAACAAATAAGTATGTCATCTCAATGGACTCATTTGGTAGGAACTGGTTTATATGCCAATATGTGGTGTGATCTAAATAAATGCTCTCCTAAAAATATAAATTTTGTTTACTTGCTATTAAGCCTTTTCCCTCTCCTGTGATAACACCCACAAAGCTACGGTGAAAGATATCTTATAATTCAACATAATAACAATTATTTTTAAGGGAAGATAACAAAAATTTCTTTTATTCCCACACTGTTATTATATTTCCCTTTTGGTTAATATTCCCTCTTCAGATATCCTTTTTACAATGAAAACACAGTAGCCTCTCTGCTGTATCTCTTTGCCAACAAGCTACTACAAGATTCCAAAACCTGTGGCAATTTGACATTTTGTTAATACATGACTCTGTATTATGCAACCAGAAAAAAAAAATACTTAAAACAATGAGAGAGAGAGAGAGCACGCGCCCAGGTAACCACTCAAGATAAATATCTGAGCAATATTCTCACTTAAATTTCATTATTTATGTCTTGCTCTGGGTGGTATTTTGGAGTTTAGAAAATCATAAGGATATTTTATATCTGGGTTACACTGTACTCCAAGGACATATACATTTAAGTTTACAATTGTATCAGATTAGTTTCTTCTAGGATCTTGGAGATGGGGCAGCAAAAGAGTTATGGCTTATCTAGGAGGGATGGGATTTACAGATCACAAAAGCCACAAGTAGAGAAATATTGGAGGCACAGGTGGAACATCTCCTTTTACACTGAATAATGCTTGCTCCCTTCCCAGAATTAATCAATTACAAAATATAAAGAAAAAACTTTTTTTTCCTGTTTGAGTTTTGAATTGTTTATATTTCAATACAAAGATACAGCAGCTCAACTCCTTTTTTTTAACAGCTTAAACTTTTCCTCATAGTTGTCTGGGAAGCAGAATTAAAGTTGTGTGGTCCGTGAGAGATAAGGGGACTTGGATAGGGGATGAGATTGTGGTAGGAAGATCGTAATAAGACTACATATCAAGAGACTGCACCTGTTGTCCTTAAGCATGTAACCTGAATGAGTGGCCCTAGCTTCCATGGAAACACCTGAACCTCAGGTAAGTGTCGACATACTGCTTGGTCTACATGATACACTGTCACATGGAAAGCATGGCTCTGTCCAGCCTAAGACAAGGGCAGTCTCATGGACTGGGTCCGCCCATCAAACAGTGAGAGGCTCAGAAGTATAGCAGAGTAGGAAAAACATGATGCCGCTGGTGATCTGAAAAAGGGGAATCTCTAAGGCAGTAAAGAGAGTAATCTTCCCTGAAATACCCAAACAAAGAACTTGAAAATAGCATGTCTTTACTTGGGAGGTTAGGAGTAAAAGCTTTTTGAGAGGTAGATTCTTAGCACCATCAGCCAGTCCACATCATCGACGGGTGACTCAACATATTTATCTTAGTTTTGGCTTCCATAGTAAACTACCATAAATGGTGCAGTTTAAACAACACATATGTATTTCTCACAGTCTAGAAGCTGGGAAGTTGAAGATCAAGGTGGCAGCAGATGCAGTGTCTGGTGAGGGCCCGCTTCTTGATTTGTAGCCAGCTCCCCGTTCCGTGTAGCCTCACCTGGTGGAGAGCAGGGAGAGGAAGCAAACTCTCTTGTGTCTCTTTTTATAAGAGCACTAATTTCACCATGAGGACTCCACCCTCATGACCTAATCACCCCCAAAAGCCCTATCTCCAAATACTATGGCATCGGGAATTAAGCTCCAACATATGAATTGGGGCAGAGTGGGAGGCTGGAAACAAACCTTCCGTCATTAGCAATGCTTTGTATCATACTACAATGTAAGTTAACTTCTGTCATTGCCCCTTCTCCCTTGCTTTCTTCTTCCACTATCCCAGAGCTACATTTTCCACTGCACCCTTGTAGTCTCTTCCTTATTTTTCTGCAACATAATACCATATGCAATTTTTTAGAACAATTTTCTTCACAAAAACTTTATTAATCATTCAACCTCAGAGATATTTCAAGGCCAGGCATGGTGGCTCACTCTTGTAATCCCAGCACTTTGGGAGGCCGAAGCAGGAGGATCACCTGTCAGGAGTTTGAGACCAGCCTGGCCAACCTGGTGAAACCCCTTCTCTACTAAAAATACAAAAGTTAGCCAGGCATTGTGGCGCACACCTGTAGTCCCAGCTATTCGGGAGAATCGCTTGAACTTGGGAAGCGAAACTCAGGCTAAATTAAAAAAAAAAAAACACAGGTATTTCAAACATTCAATTTCCAGTAGTACTTATATTTGTATAAAACAATCTATTAATTTATAATGTATTGTCTTAAAATTTAGAGGAACATTTATCTTGCCTTTCTAATTAGATTGTGCAGGTGTCTTTTTTTTTTTTTTCCTCTAGTATTCCCTACAATGCCTACAATGTATGAAATGACTATCGGTTGACTTGATTTTACTAGCACAACACTCACACAGCCCTGGTTCCTATGTTAATAAGAAAAATGAGCTTAAATAGAAATATACATTTTAGCCCACCTCAATAGGCAGTGTTTAGCTATTAGGTGAGTTTCCATATTTTAGAGATGTATTGAGATATTCAAAATGCAGTCTAAATCAACATTTTAGATTTATATCAGATGAAGTGCACGCCAATCAAATTAATAATCGATAGCTGTGGTCCAGGTCTGAAACTGAATGCAAAGCAAATTTGAAAAATTTTCTAATCGGTATCCAATCTGTAAAATGACTGTCACTATTCCTCAACAAAGGAGCAAATAGATTATAATATCTTATAAAGATTTTATTATTACTTTTCTTCTTTTTAAACTGAGAGATGCATTGCTTAGATTCTGAGGGCTGGGGGAAAGTCACATTTGTTGGAACTGAACCATGTGTCACAGCTTCAATTTAAATTAGGAGGGAAATTGAAAGGGCCCCCATGTGAAAGCTATGTTCAACTTGTTAGTTAACAAATAAATCAATGCCAAGTCCACATTCTAAAGCATTTTATTTCTACAATGCTTGGTTATTAGTGGAATTCAGATTATTTAAACAACCACTGCAATGTTTTGCTCCTTGTTCCCCTGGATCTGTCTCCTTTTATTCCTTCCCTTTCTCCACACACAAATATCCACCATGCCTCAGTTTTTAAATGCTTCTTCTCCTTACTGTGAAATCTGTCTTGAAGAATATTGTCACAGCAGAGCAGGAGAAGGTCTTAATCCAAGCCCTGAGAGACACATTTGAAAGGGCCGTGCAAGAGAATTTGGTGACCGTTTAATGTTTTAATCCCCTTTACTTTTGTTAGAATAATTAACATAAAGAGAAAGGTAACTACCATGAGCAAACAAATCTTATTACAGTGAAATGCAGACAAATGCGCAGACACACATCCATCCTTTATAGCATGACCTTCCACTGACTTGTTCTCTAATAAAAAACGTGGCCAAAAATATCCATATTTTTTTTACCCATCTGATTTATGAAGGATACAGTGATTATTTTCTGTTGAAGAAATTCACTAGTCACATCAGGAATATAATGCTCAGAGAGAAAGAGAACAGAGTAGTGACTAAGACCATGGCCTCTGGAGTAAAAATACTGATTATAAATTCTGACCCTGACCCTTACTAACCATGCAACTTTGGACAAGTTACCTAATACTTTTTGCTTCAGTTTCATCATCTGTAACATGAAAACAATACTACCTGCCACATGAGGATGTGGTGAAAATTAATGTACATATGTCTACACACAGAAGACTTAGACTAATATCTGGTCCATAGGAAACACTATACTATATAAAGATTAGTTGTTCTTATTGGTGTGGGAAGGTAGCATTTTCCATTATGATCCCTTTTGTAGTATTTGAATTTATAACTTTGTGAAGGCATTATTTTATTCATTTACCAAAGAAAACATAAACACAAAACTATGTTTATTTAGGCTCAGTCACAAATGTTTAAAAAGTTTGAGATTGCTTATTGTTTATTAATTTAATGTATTTGAAGAGAAATGAATCCATGTATTTGAAGAAATAAACATATTTTTGTAGTTTTAAGTAGCTTTAGAATTTTGTATGTAAATATAATCATGAAAAAATATATCAAAATAAGGCAATGTTAATCATTAATATACTTTAGAACTATAAAAATATAGTCGAATGTCATTTCCAAGATTTAATATTAAATTTGAGATGGGTTAAAAATCAGATACCATAAAGTTAAATACTCTTCAAGACAAATAGAAAGTTATTTTTGGAGAAGTACAAATGAGTTTTTCGTTTTTGTTTTTCTATTTCAAGATTTTTTATTTTTATTTTTATTTTATTTTACTTTTATTATTATACTTTAAGTTCTAGGGTATATGTGCACAACATGCAGGTTTGAAACATAGGTATACATGTGCCATGTTGGTTTGCTGTACTACAAATGAGTTTTAATAACACTGATGTGCATTAACATTTTGCTGTAAAATATACAATTCTATATTGATTACAACAATAATGATTTTTAAAATTAAAATATAAAAACATTTCTCAATAACTTACCTTTTCTATCAACCATCATTGTTAAAATATTTAAAAGGCATTTCTGTTTTTATTACTAGGTCTTCTCCTTTAAGAAACAACATGAGGATTCCCAGGCAAGATGGCCAAATAGGAACAGCTCCTGTCTGCAGCTCCCAGGGAGAACAATGCAGAAGGCAGGTGATTTCTGCATTTCTAGCTCAGTGTAAACAAAGCCACCTGGAAGTTTGGATTGGGCGGAGCCTACCAGAGCTGGGCAAAGCCTCTGTAGCCAGACTGCCTCTCTAGATTCCTCCTCTCTGGGTAGGGAATCTCTGAAAGAAAGGCGGCAGCCCCAGTCAGGGGCTTATAGATAAAACTCCCATTTCTCAAAGACAGAGCACCTGGGGAAAGGGGCGGCTGTGGGCTCAGCTTCAGCAGACTTAAATGTTCCTGCCTGCTGGCTCTGAAGAGAGCAGTGGATCTCCCAGCACAATGCTCGGCTCAAGCTCTGCTAAGGGACATTCTGCCTTCTCAGGTGGGTCCCTGACCCCATGTCTCCTGACAGGGAGACACCTCCCAGCAGAGGTTGACAGACACCTCATACAGGAGAGCTCCGGCTGGCATCTGGCAGGTGCCCCTCTGGGACAAAGTTTCCAGAGGAAGGAGCAGGCAGCAATCTTTGCTGTTCTACAGCCTCTGCTGGTGATACCCAGGCAAAGAGGATCTGGAGTGGATGCCTTAGCAAACTCTAGCAAACCTGCAGAAGAGGGGCCTGACTGTTAGAAGGAAAACTAACCAATAGAAAGCAATAGCATCAAAATCAACAAAAAGGATGACCCCACAAAAACTCCATACTAAGGTCACCAACATCAAAGACCAAAGGTAGATACATCCACAAAATTGAGAAAAAAACAGTGAAAAAAGACCGAAAATTCCAAAAAACAGAAAGCCTCTTCTGCTCCAAAGGATCACAATTCCTTGCCACCAAGGGAAAAAACTGATGGAGAATGCGTTTGACGAATTGACAGTAGTAGGCTTCAGAAGGTAGGTAATAACAAACTTTTCTGAGCTAAAGGAGCATGTTCTAACCCAATGCAAGGAAGCTAAGAACCTTGATAAAAGGTTAGAGGAATTGCTAACTAGCATAACCAATGTAGAGAAGAACATAAATGATCTGATGGAGCTGAAAAACACAGCATAAGACCTTCGTGAGGGATACACAAGTATCAATAGCCAAATTGATCAAGCAGAAGAAAGGGTATCAGAGATTGAAGATCAACTTAATGAAATAAAGTGTGAAGACAAGATTAGGTAAAAAAGAATAAAAAGGAATGAACAAAGCCTCCAAGAAATAAGGGACTATGTGAAAAGACCAAACCTATGTTTGATTGGTGTACCTGAAAGTGATGGGGAGAATGGAACCAAGTTTGGAAACACACTTTAGGATATTATCCAGAAGAACTTCCCCAACCTAGCAAAACAGGCCAACATTCAAATTCAGGAAATACAGAGAAAACCACAAAGATACTCCTTGAGAAGAGAAACTCCAAGACACATAGTCATCAGGTTCACCAAGGTTGAAATGACGGAAAAAATATTAAGGGCAGCCAGAGAGAAAAGTCGGGTTACCCACAAAGGGAAGCCCATTAGACCAACAGCAGATCTCTCTGCAGACACCCTACAAGTAAGAAGAGAGTGGGGGCCGATATTCAACATTCTTAAGGAAAATAATTTTCAACCCAGAATTTCATATTCGCCAAACTAAGCATCATAAGTGAAGGAGAAATAAAATCCTTTACAGACAATGCTGAGGAATTTTGTCACCACCAGGCCTGCCTTACAAGAGCTCCTGAAGGAAACACTAAATATGGAAAGGAAAAACTGGTACCAGCCACTGCAAAAACAAACCAAAATGTAAAGACCATCAATGCCATGAAGAAACTGCATCAACTAATGGGCAAAATAACCAGTTAGCATCATAATGACAGGATCAAATTTGTACATAATAATATTAACCTTAAATGTAAACAGGGTAAATGCCCCAATTAAAAGACACAGACTGGCAAATTGGATAGAGTCAAGACCCATTGTTGTGCTGTATTCAGGAGACCCATCTCACATGCAAAGACACAAATAGGCTGAAAATAAAGGGATGGAGAAAGATTTACCAAGAAAATGGGAAGCAGAAAAAAAAGCTGAGGTTGCAAACCTAGTCTCTGATAAAACAGACTTTAAAGCAACAAAGATCAAAAAAGACGAAGAATGGCATTACATAATGGTAAAGGGATCAATGCAACAAGAAGAGCTAATTATCCTAAATATATATGCACCCAGTACAGGAGCACCCAGATTTATAAAGCAAGTTATTAGAGACCTACAAAGAGACCTAGACTCCCACACAATAAGAGTAGGAGACTTTAACACCCCAATGTCAATATTAGACAAATCGATGAGACAGATAATTAACAAGGATATTCAGGACTTGAACTCAGCTCTGGACCAAGCAGACCTAATAGACATTTACAGACCTCTCTACCCCAAATCAACAGAATATACATTCTTCTTAGAACCACATAGCACTTATTCTAAAATAGACCACATCATTGAAAGTAAAACACTCCTCAGCAAATGCAAACGAATGGAAATTACAACAAATAGTCTCTCAGAGCACAGTGCAATCAAATTAGAACTCAGGATTAGGAAACTCACTCAAAACCACACAACTACAGGTAAATAACAAAATTAAGACAGAAATAAATAAGTTCTTTGAAACCAATGAGAACACAGACACAATGTACCAGAATCTCTGGGACACAGCTAAAGCAGGGTTTAGAGGGAAATTTATAGCACTAAATGCCCATAGGAGAAAGTGGGAATGATCTAAAATCAACAACCTAACATCACAATTAAAAGAACTATAGAAGCAAGAGCAAAAAAATTCAAAAGCTAGCAGAAGACAAGAAATAACTAAGATCAGAGCAGAACTGAAGGAGATAGAGACATGAAAAACCCTTCAAAAAATCAATGAATTCAGGAGCTGGTTTTTTGAAAAGATTAACAAAATAGATAGACTACTAGCCAGACTAATAAACAAGAAAAAAGAAGAATCAAATAGACACAATAAAAATGATAAAGGGGAGATCACCACTGATCCCACAGAAATACAAACTACCCTCAGAGAATATTATGAACACCTTTACACAAATAAACTAGAAAATCTAGAAGAAATGGATAAATTCCTAGACACATACACCCTCCCAAGACTAAACCAGGAAGAAGCCGAATCCCTGAATAGACCAATAACAAGTTCTGAAATTGAGGCAGTCATTAATCACCTACCAACCAAAAAAAGCCCAGGACTAGACAAATTCACAGCCAAATTCTACCAGAGGTAGAAAGAGGAACTCGTTCCATTCCTTCTGAAAGTATTCCAAACAATAGAAAAAGAGCAATTCCTCTCTAAATTATTCTATGAGGCCAGCAACATGCTGATACCAAAACCTGGCAGAGACACAGAAAAAAAAGAAAATTTCAGGCCAATATACCTGATGAACATTGATGTGAAAATCCTCAATAAAATACAAGCAAACTGAATCTAGCAGCACATTAAAAAGCTTATCCACCACTATCAAGTCGGCTTCACCCCTGGGATGCAAGTCTGGTTCAGCATATGCAAATCAATAAATGAAATTCATCACATAAACATAACCGATGACAAAAACCACATTATTATTTCAATAGATACAGAAAAGGCTTTCAATAAAATTCAACACCCCTTCATGCTAAAAACACTCAATAAACTAGGCATTGATGGAACACATCTCAAAATAATAAGAGCTATTCATGACAAACCCACAGCCAATATAATACTGAGTGGACAAAAGCTGGAAGCATTCCCTTTGAAAACCGGCACAAGACAAGGATGTTCTCTCTCACCATTCGTATTCAACATAGTGTTGGAATTCCGGCCTGGGCAATCAGGCAAGACAAAGATATAAATGGTATTCAAATAGAGAGAGGAAATCAAATTATGTTTGTTTGTAGATGACATTATTGTATATTTAGAAAATCCCATTGTCTCAGCCCCAAAACCTCTTAAGCTGATAAGCAACTTCAGCAAAGTCTCAGGATACAAAAACTAATGTGCAAAAATCACAAGCATTCCTATGCACCCATAATAGACCAACAGAGAGCCAGTCATGAGCAAACTCCCATTCACAATTGCTACAAGGAGAATAAAATACCTAGGAATACAACTTAAAAGGAATGTGAAGGTCCTCCTCAAGGAGAACTACAAACCAGTGCTCAAGGAAATAAGAGAGGACACAAACAAATGGAAAAACATTCCATGCTCACGGATAGGAAGAATCAATATTGTGAAAATGGCCATATTGCCCAAAGTAATTTATAGATTCAATGCTATTACCATCAAGCTACCACTGACATTCTTCACAGAATTAGAAAAAAACTATTTTAAATTTCATATCGAACCAAAGAAGAGCCCGCATTGCCAAGACAATCCTAAGCAAAAAGAACAAAGCTGGAGGCATCATGCTACGTGACTTCAAACTATACTACAATACTACAGTAACCAAAACAGCATAGTACTGGTGCCAAAACAGATATATAGACCAATGGAACAGGACAAAGGCCTAAGAAATAACACCACACATCTATAACCATCTGATCTTTGACAAACCTGACAAAAATAAGCAATGGGGAAAGGATTCCCTATTTAATAAGTGGTATTGAGAAAACTGGCTAGCCATATGCAGAAAACTGAAATTGGACCCCTTCCTTACACCTTATACAAAAATCAACTAAAGATGGATTAAAGATTTAAACATAAGACCTAAAACCATTAAAACACTAAAGAAGACCTAGGCAATACCATTCAGGACATAGGCATGGGCAAAGACTTCATGACTAAAACACCAAAAGCAATTGCAACAGAAGCTAAAATGGACAAAAGGGATCTAATTAAACTAAAAAGTTTCTGCACAGCAAAAGAAAGTATTATCAGAGTGAACAGACAACCTACAGAATGGGAGAATATTTTTGCAATCTATCCTTCTGACAAAGGGCTAATATCCAGAATCTATGAGGAACTTAAAAAAATTAACAAGAAAAAAAAACCATCAATAACTGGGCAAAGGATATGAACAGACAGTTCTCAAAAGAACACATTTATGTGGCCAAGAAACATATAAAAAAAAAGCTCATCATCACTGGTCATTAGAGAAATGCAAATCAAAACCACAGAGATACCATCTCATGCCAATTAGAATGGCAATCTTTAAAAAGTCAGGAAACAATAGATGCTGGAGAGGATGTGGAGAAATAGGAACGTTTTTACACTGGTTGGAGGGAGTGTAAATTAGTTCATCCATTGTGGAAGACAATGTGGCGATTCCTCAAGGATCTAGAACTAGAAATACCATATAACCCAGCGATCCCATTACTGGGTATATACCCACAGGATTATAAATCATTCTGCTATGAAAACACATGCACACGTATGTTTACTGCAGCACTATTCACAATAGCAAAGACTTGGAACCAACCCAAATGCCCATCAATGTTAGATTGGATAAAGAAAATGTGGCACATATACACCATGGAATACTATGCAGCCATAGAAAAGAGTGAGTTAATGTCCTATGCAGGGACATGGATGAAGCTGGAACCCATCATTCTCAGGAAACTAACACAGGAGCAGAAAACCAAACACCGCATGTTCTCACTCATAAGTGGGAGTTGAACAATGAGAACATATGGGCACATATCAGGTCCTGTTGAGGAAGGGGAGCAAGGGGAGGGATAGCATTAGGAGAAATACCTAATGTTGATGACGGGTTCATGGGTGCAGCAATCCACCATGGCACATGTATACCTATGTAACAAACCTGTGCATTCTGCACATGTATCCCAGAACTTAAAGTATAACAATAAAAATAAAGAAACAACACAAGACCAAACCAAATACACCTTTTAAAACGAATTGGAAATGCATGCATAGTTAATCTAAGCTTGCATGAACATTTTGTTAGATCATGTAGTTAATAATTAGATATATTTTATAAAACAATAATAGTCCTTGATTGTGATATGGAAATATGATCATTTAAACAAATGCAATAACATTTTTTAATTTATCAATCTGGGTTCCCAAAGCAATCCAGGAAAAAGTCTTGCAAGTACAAGACGACCTAAGTATATTCAATACTCCAATTCTCATAAGTTTCCCTCAATTGGATGTAAACAATAATTAATTGAAGTGCTGAATATAAAATGATTTGCAGGGTACAAAAGTAGACTTAGTCATCTATTTAAGTATACAAGCACTTTTCCAATGTACAGTAACCATGGGTACAAATTGTCCCCTGAAACCAAGGCAATTCATTTTCACATTGAAAGACTTCTGTGTTTGAAGAGGAAAAAAAATTATTATTGCATGATTTCTTTTTCCAGAAGTTCACATTAGAGTTTAGCTTGCACCTAAATTTTACCTGCTCCTCCAACATCATCATCTTCTGCTGTTATTGAATAATATGTATAAAACATTATATCCTATGCTTTTGTTATCTATGGCATTAATATTTCACAAGTTGAAGCCAATTTCACAGATCTAAATTAATGCTAAAACTTTATATGATTATAATAAAAGTTTTCTCTAGGTTGAGAGAGGGAGAGCGAGCTTGAATGTAGATAGTCAAAATGTTACACATTCAATGAAACAAAATAGAATTTTTAACAGTACGTATAAAAGTTCTTTCCCTTTTTGTTGTATTTGATTTTCTCTGTGAACTAAAGTTCTATTAATGATAACAATTAAAAGGAAATTGAAAAAATACCCTAGTTTATATGGGTTGCATCTCTAGGTATAGGGACCTATAGCATCAAAGTGAGTTTTCTTAGCTGAATTGAGAAAAAGTAGAAAGCTACTTCTCAAACTTTGTAAATAAGACAAATTTGTATTAAATTTTTAAAAATTCTTAAAATATTAGATGTGATTTAGAGGCAAAATCCCAGCATTTATAAATGAAGTATATAGTGTCTCCTCACATTACTTATAAAACTTTTATATAAATGTTCAGAACTAAACAAAACAAGTAAACTAGTGTACTAGATATTTTTTAAGAAAATAACATGGTTATAATTTCCTAAAAAAAAAGAGAGTGAGGAATGTACCTCTCACTCTTACTAGAAGGTATATATACTCTAAGGCAGCAATATCATGAACAGCTGTTAGCCACCATGCTTAAATTGGCTGTGAATATCTGAAATAGTTGTCCATAGTAATAGGAAATTCACGGTTATTTTGTACCTTTAGAAAAGCTTTAGTTCCAGCCTATCAAAGCTCATTCTTTCCTGGAGGAAGCCCAGAATTACACGGTTTCCACATCTGTGAAGCAAGTTGTGCTTCTCAATCATCTAACAGCACTAAGGCCAGAGTTAGGGACCATCACAATGAGATCACTGTTTTCAAGCGTTTTGTCCAGCCATGTGTGTTTTCAGCAGGGCAGGGGCAGGAGAGCCGGGCAAAATAAAAATGCACTGCCAGTCAACAGGATTAGAGTCCATTTTCAGCCTACAGAAACCTGTTAGTGGAACCATAAAAAAGAAACTTTGTTTTTAACTTCCTTAATGAGCTTGACTTATTTGATTAAAAAAAAACGGGGGGGTGGGTATCTGCATTTTCCTGTAATAAAGACCTCTTTGCTATTTTTTAATAGTTATAGCTTCCTATAAACTTTATGGAGGTGAATTCAATTCAATGAAGTAGCAAAAATACTGTTTTTATTATAAAATACTAATATCAGTCAAGTTTCACCCAAAGGATCTTGTATTTCAGAAAATTTTATGATGCTACTTATAGCTTTTTTTCTCATCTGAATGTTTTTAATCTCAAAATGTTAAAACAAAATAAATCATGAGATTTTGCAGTATTCCCAAGAATATCTGACTGAATATAAGATATGAAAGTTACTATATAAGAAAAAACATTAAGAGCAATTTTTAAGTATCTAAATACAAAATGATTATAATTATTTTGAATTTGGGTTTTTTTTGTTAAAATTTCTCAAATGCATTTTCATCCATTTATGATTTTTTAAAACGCTAATAAAAGGACATTACAAAATCTACCTTATGGTATAAATAAACACTGATTATTCTCCTAAACTGCCTTCTCAGAGTCAATAGTCTTTTACTTCAATAGTCACTGAAATTTTCTCTAGAAGACCAAATTCTTCTTAAGTTAATTGGACTTCATCAAGTGGAATGGCCAGGAGGAAACTAAAGGCATATTTGTTATTTTCCATGTACCTATCACCAGCTCCACATGCTTCTGGATCAGGATATGTTGGGAATTGGATGGACATGATTAACTCACATTTTATAAGACTAATTGAATTTGGGTTGAAAAAAAATGACCTTTGAAAACCAACTGCAGGGTTGACCAAAAAGGTTTTCTATCTCTCAAAAATTATTTTTCAAACATGTTTTATGAGATATGCTCAGTATCTACTCATTTGTCTTTAATATGAGTTTCTGAAAGTACTGGATAAATCAAATTCAGAAATTTTCCAGCAAAAAAAAATGTAAAGAAATTTACAGTGAAGTAAAGCAAAAAGATAACAATGACTTAAATTTATGTTTTAAGGTGAGCGTGCACAATTCTTAGTTAATAAATCACTGACAAATTGCCATTCATCTAATGAGTAGTTCATCTTATTTAGGATTATGTCTACATGATAGCCCCATCTAGAAAAGGAGAAGAAAAGAATGATTTAATGATGGTGATTTGGTGATTGTTAAAAAACAAAACAAAACAAAAAAAATGAAAAAACAAAACTGAAAACAATTTCATTGAAAGAAAACTCTGTCCGTGTTACGACAGCCAATTCCACTGTGTTTATTATTTTTCTAAGAACTTTAGGGGAAATGAGTTAACTAATGGCAAAAAAAAATATTAACTTGCAAAAGCATGTAAAAGCAGTGGTTTAGCCTTGGCAAGCTTCTCTGTGCAACAGCTGTATTTAACTGTAGCTAGGAATCTTGACTGTCTTGATCTCCAGTCTATATATAGTTCTATCTCTTCTTTGAGCTCATTTTATATTTTCTTTTATTATTTCATTGATTAGTGCATGGTTATTCCTTAGTAGTTGTATATGGCTCAATTTTGGACTTTCACTCTTACATCTATGCTGGACAACATGTTTTCTAAAGATAAGAATGCCTTTTTTTTTTTTTTTCTTCTATAACTCTGCATCTTATGGTAGCTCAGATTTGGGCACAAAGTGTGAGGGGCTCACAATTCTTGTCTGATTGACCAAGTTCTTTGTTTTGTCCAAGTGGGTCTGATTCTTTCTTTCCCAAGAGTTTATTTCTGCTTTTTTTCCTTCTGTGAAGTATCTCCATATATGGATTTGGATCTCCATGTTTCTAGCCGTAGGTTTAGAAACTCAGCTCTGCTCCCAAGGACACTGTTGGTTGGCTGTTTGGCCCTTGAGGAAGGCAAATGTCAGCAATTGCCTTATGTCTTAGGAAGATAATTTTAGTTATCTGCCCAATTTCCTGACTCTTGCATTTCTCTTCATCTTATTAAAACTTACTTGCTAAAATAAACAATGGAAGTAAACACTAAGAAAAATTCAATAACCTATAAATTAGCTTTAGAAAAAACTGTATGTTCTTCATAGTTTACTTGCAGTCAGAAAAAAAAAAGTATTTTGTATTTTGATCTAAAAAGGTCGCTACTAAATTTCTTGCCTTGGAAAGTGCTCATTTGCTATAATACGGATGAGAAATCTCCAAAATATTGGACAGAATTATTTAATGCTTGCAGCTTGAGTATCAAAATCATTTATGTGTTAAGTATTCTGTTCTAAGCACATACTACATAAGATCAGACACATATAAACAAAACCTGTGTTAAACCTGCCATTTAAACCTTTAAAAAAAGTTTTAGGATATCCATTGAAATAGCTGGGCAAATTGTCATGGTGCCCACCCATACCACACCATTTAAAGGGGCAAGAAGACAAGCTGTTTCAAAAATCTAAAGACCCCATTCTGCAAAATGAATAATGACATGATCTGTCATATAGTTCAACATGTTGTATATATCAGCCACTTAGTACAACCTGCCACAGAGACCTGTTAGACAAAAGAACATGCCACATAGTCCTTCCACATAGTGCATTCTGCCACATAAGAAACCTGCTCTTTAGATCTCAAAGAAAGTAATTGTTAGATGCCTATGAATATTATAATCTTGTTCAGTGGAAAAGATCTTTCTTTTCCTGCAATGTCACCGTTGGAGTAACTATTCAATTCATTTCAAAAACTATTACATATTTGTTTCACACATACTAGGCACTGCTCTAGATACTGCAGATATAAAGCAAATAAGACATCATTTCTGTCTTCCAAACATGGATTTGTAGGCAAGACACACATAGAAGCTATAGTTTATTTTCAGGGCAATGGAGGCTCTCAGGCTCCATTATTATAGAGGCTCTCAGGCTATAGATACATTCAGTGTTAATAGACTTGTTTTCAGTAATAAAAGTAAATCCAGAGTTGGCTAAAACTCTGGCTGTGTCTGAATCTTCCAGTGTTCCAGAATTGATCCCCTGAGGTTTCTGATTTACCCTCACAATGTTCACGAAAAAAATGTATAAAACCTATATATATATATATATATATATATATATATATATATATGAATTCATTAATTTCTAGTAAGAAATACAATTATATGAAGGTTAGACATTCATATTTGTTTTCCAAGCATATTCCCTCTCTGTAAGAAACCTGTATGAGAAGCCACCTAATTAGAATATTGCTATGTTAGCAGAGTAGCAGAGCAAGGAAAGATGGCTGTGTGGCCCTCATTTGCATGACTCCATTTTGTCAATTTTCACACAGCCTAATGGACCATATGCTGATGTAGTGCCAGCCGAGTTAGTCTTTGATAGAACCTCTATTGCTTGCCAAGTGCCATCTCAAGCAGGTTGAAATATGTCCTCTGTGCACTGACTCAATATTCATTTTTGTCCAAGAAATCATTGGGACTCAATTTAATGAAGAGTCACAAATCATGTGCCAGCTACTTTTCTTGCATTCCCCCAGCTTACACTTTCCTCCTCTTTGAGGATGCCACTTCCTCTGCATCTTTTCCTTTTGAGCTTATTTCCCTGATGGTCAGGAGGCAGAATTGTGTCATTTTTTTCCTTTCCATTGCAGCTCCATGATGATTATTACATAATCATTGTATTTATGATGAGTTTAATAAAACTTCCTACATCATTAAGATTTACACCATTATCTTCAATTACCTTTTACCTCTTCTTATCTATTTTCTCTTCTCCTGATACTTCGGTCAGTCCTTCCCCTCTGTCCCCTACTCTCTGAAGAATTTGGCAGAGATTTAATGGCATTCCTCTTCACTCAAATTCCTTTCTCGCTATTCCCACTAGAAACTTTCATCCCCATAATCAGAAATTCCAGCCCTATGACTCTTTCATTATAGATGCATTACTCTTTCCTATTTTCACTTTTTTTGTCATACAATGTAAAATCTCTTGTTCATTGTTTCAATAAATATATTTGTAAATTATACCAAGGAAGATATTTTGTCTGTTTTGTGCAATGGTCATCATCTTATCGAAACTCCTTCCTACCAGCTTTCACACTCACATACACTATTAGCAGAAGACATTGCTTCTTACTTTCCTGAGAAAATGCAAGTAATTGGATAGGAACTCTCAATTTTCTGACACTAAACCTACAAAAGTATATATAAATATACCCATCCTTTTCTTTTTTTTCTGGTTCTAGTCCTTTCACTATCTGTACTGTGGTTTCTTATACTTTTGACTTTTAAAATAAACTTAGATTATTCCTTCTTTCTAATCTCATCTTTAAAGAAAACAAAAATTACTCCTTTCATAATTTGCTTTCTTTTTCCCCTTATTATCTTGAAAGTGTTGTCTATACATTTTCTTTCCATTTCTGCACTACTTATTCACTCCCCAACTTTTTCTAATTGAGTATCTTCAACACAAGAGCTCTTGGTGAGGTCCACGGTGATTTCATGCTATAGCATTTAAAGAAAATTTTTAGCTCTCATCTCACTCGATCTTTCAGCAAAACAAATGTACAATGATATCCACTATCCTAGTCATAGAGAATGTTTTGACTGCTCTAGAAATGCTCTGTGCTCTGCCTATACATACTTCCGTCCCCTCTTCCCCTCAATCCCTGGTGACCACTGATAGGATATATATATGATATGATATATAGATACATACAGACATAGATATATAAGAAGCCATGTATCCTTCATACCTACTTTCCTGGAAATTCACCGGGGCTGAGAGATGGTAGTAGGATGAAGTGTGAATCTAACTCAGCTAATCATAAATTTTCACTTGGGGCCATGAATACAAAACATATTCAGTATTGAGAACACAGGACCCCACACCAGGTACAAAACTTAATTTAAAATAGAGCATACCTAAATTTAAGAGCTAAAACTATAAAGATGTTAGTAGAAAGCATGGGAGAAAATCTTCATGACCAGAGATTTGACCAATAGTTTCTTAAATATGTCACTAAAAGCAAGGCAACAAAAGAAAAATTAATTAAATACATTGTTTTTCTTCACCAAAATAAAAAAAAAGTTTGCGCATCAAAGAATACTACCAAGAGAGTGAAAATACCCACAGGATGGATTAAAATATTTGCAAATTATATATCAGATGAGGATGTAATAGCCAGAACATGTAAAGAACTGTTACAACTCAACAACAGAAATAAACATCCCAGTCTGTCACCAGCATTAGGCTGGCTCCTTTGGCCCCAGACTCCAGGCTCATTACAGTGTCAGGCCAACTTCTTTACCATCAGTCATCACAGTGGTCCCCTTGGCCCCAGGCTCCAAGTTAGCCACTGTAGTCCCATGCTTCAGTAGACCCAGGGTCCAAGATGGCCCCCACAGCTTCATCCTCTAGCCAACCTAGGGGCCACTTCTGCTTCAGTGAAACTCAGTAATGAGCTACAGTACTATATTAGTCTGTTTTCACACTGCTGATAAAGGCATACCCAAGACTGGGAAGGAAAAGAGGTTTAATGGGACTTACAGTGCCGCATGGCTTGGCAGGCCTCAGAATCATTGCAGGAGGTAGAAGGCACTTCTTACATGGTGGTGGCAAGAGAAAATGAGGAAGATGCAAAAGCAGAAAACTCTGATAAAACCATCAGATCTTGTGAGACTTAATCACTGCCCAGAGAGCAGAATGGGGGAAGCTGACCCCATGATTCAAATTATTTCCCACTGGGCTCTTCCCACAACACTTGGGAATTCTGGAGGTATAATTCAAGATGAGATTTGGATGGGGATAGAGCCAAACCATATCATTCTGCCTCTGGCCCCTCCAAATCTCTTGTCCTCACATTGCAAAACCAATCATGCCTTCCCAATAGTTCTGCAAAATCTTGACTCATTTCAACATTAACTAAAAAGTCCACAATCCAAAGTCTCATCTGAGACAAGGCAAGTCCCTTCTGCCTATGGGCCTGTAAAATAAAAGCAAACTGGTAACTTCCTAGATACAATTGGGGTACAGGTATTGGGTAAATACAGTCATTGCAAATGGGAGAAATTGGCCAAAACACAAGGGTTACAGAGCCCATGCAAGTCCAAAATCCAGTGGGGCAGTCAAATTTTAAAGCTCCAAAATGATCTCCTTTGACTTCGGGTCTCACATCCAGGTCATGTTGATGCAAGAGATGGGTTCCCATGGTCTTGGACAGCTCCACCACTGCGGGTTTGTAGGGCACAGCGTCCCTCCCAGCTGCTTTCACAGGCTGGTATTGAGTGCCTGTGGCTTTTCCAGATGAATGTTGAAAGCTGTTGGTGGATCTACCATTCTGGGGTCTGGAAGACAGTGGCCCTCTTCTCATAGCTCCACTAGGTGGTGCCCCAGTAGGGTCTCTGTGTGGGGGCTTTGACCCCACATTTCCTTTCTACACTGCCCTAGCAGAGGTTCTCCTTGAGCACCCCACTCCTGCAGCAAACTTCTGCCTGGACATCCAGGTATTTTCCTACATCTTCTGAAATCTAGGCAGAGGTTCTCAAACCCCAATTCTTTACTTCTGTGTACTTGCAGTCTCAATAGCACATGGAAGCTGCCAAGGCTTGAGGCTTGCACCCTCTGAAGTCACAACTCGAGCTCTACGTTGGCCCCTTTCAGCCACAGTTGGAGGAGCTGTGACACATGGCACCATGTCCTTAGGTTGTACATAGCCTGGGGACCCTGGGCTCAGCTCATGAAACCATTTTCTCCTAGGCCTCCAGATCTGTAATGAGAGGGGCTGCTATGAAGACCTCTGATGTGCCCTGAGACATTTTCCCCACTGTCTTGGTGATTAACATTTAGCTCCTCATTAGTTATGCAAATTTCTGCAGCTGGCTTGAATTTCTCCTCAGAAAATGGGTTTTTTCTTTTCTATCATATTGTCAGGATGCAAATTTTCCAAACTTTTGTGCTCTGCTTCCCTTACAAAATGGAATGCATTTAACAGCACCCAAGTCACCTCTTGAATGCTTTGCTGCTTAGAAAAATTTCTTCTGTCAGATACCCTAAATCATCCTGTCAAGTTCAAAGTTCTACAGATCTCTAGGGCAGGGGCAAAATGCCACCAATCCCTTTGTTAAAACATAATAGGAGTTACCTTTGCTCCAGCTCCCAGCAAATTCCTCATCTCCATCTGAGACCACCTCAGCCTATACCTTACTGTCCATATTGCTATCAGGCTTTTGGACAAAGTCATTCAATAAGTCTCTAGGAAGTTCCAAACCTTCCCACACTTTCCTGTCTTCTTCTGAGCCCTCCCAACCATTCCAACCTCTGCCTGTTACCCAGTTCCAAAGTCGCTTCCACATTTTCAGTTATATTTTCATCAATGCCCCACTCTACTGGTACAAATTTAGCAAACTAGTCCGTTTCATGCTGCTGATAAAGACATACCTGAGACTGGAAAGAAAAAGAGGTTTAATTGGATTTACAGTTCCACATGGCTGGGGATGCCTCAGAATAATGGTAGGAGGCAAAACACACTTCTTACATGGTGGCAGCAAGGTAATATGAGGAAGATGCAGAAGTGGAAACCCCTGATAGAATCATCAGATCTCTTGAAACTTACTCACTACCAAAAGAACAGTATGAGGGAAACTGCCCCCATGATTCAAATTATCTCCCACTGGGTCCCTCACACAACACATGGGAATTATGGGAGTACAATTCAAGATGAGATTTGGGTGGGGATGCAGCCAAATCATATCAGGTTCCTCTCCCACAGACCTAGGCTGCAGGACATCCCTTGCTAACTAACACCATGAAAACATAAAAAAATATAAAACTTACCATAAAGGTTAGAATATGGTCAAATTCATATTGCTCTAATACTGTAATGGTAATACATAAATCACTTTTAATTCTAGCATAAAAGTTAAAAGACAAAAGCATTAAAAATAATTATAGCTACAATAATCTGTCAATATATGCACAATACATATAAGACAAACATGGTTACAACAGTAACAAAATATGGGAGAGGAGAAAAAGTGTAGAATTTTTGTATACAGTTGAAATTAAGTTGTTTTATTTATAAGAGTTTTATATACTTTTTATGGTAACCATAAAGACAAAACTTGTAGTAGATACATAAAAGATAAAGACAAATAAATCAATGCAAAACATTAGAGAAAATCACCTAATTTACAATAGAAGAATAGAAAAAAGGAAGCACAAAACAGTCAGAAATCAATATAATGACAGGAGTACTATCAGCACGCCATATCCATGGGTTCCGCAGCTACAAATTCAACCAAGTATGGACTAAAAATATGTGGGGAAACGGTGAAACCCCATCACTACTAAAAATACAAAAAATTAGCCAGGCAGGGTGGCAGGCGCCTGTAGTCACAGCTACTCTGGAGGCTGAGGCAGGAGAATGCCCTGAACCCGGGAGGTAGAGCTTACAGTGAGCCAAGATGGTGCCACTGCACTCCAGCCTGGGCGACAGAGCGAGACTCCATCTCAAATATATATATATGGAAATATATATATATATGGAATATATATATATGGAAATCTATATATGGAAATCTATATATATGGAAATCTATATGTGGAAATATATATATATGGAAATCTATATGGAAATCTATATATGGAAATCTATATATGTGGAAATCTATATATGGAAATCTATATATGTGGAAATCTATATATATGGAAATCTATATGTGGAAATCTATATATGGAAATCTATATATATTAAATCTATATATGGAAATCTATATATATGGATATCTATATATATGAAATCTATATACGGAAATATATATATGGAAATCTATATACGGAAATATACATATGGAAATCTATACACGGAAATATACATATGGAAATCTACATATGGAAATCTACATATGGAAATCTATAAATGGAAATCATATATGGAAATCATATATGGAAATCTATATATGGAAATCTATATATATGGGAATCTATATACATGGAAATCTATATATATGGGAATCTATATATATGGGAATCTACATATATGGAATCTATATATATGGGAATCTACATATATGGAATCTATATATATGGGAATCTACATATATGGAATCTATATATATGGGAATCTACATATATGGAATCTATATATATGGGAATCTACATATATGGAATCTATATATATGGGAATCTACATATATGGAATCTATATATATGGGAATCTACATATATGGAATCTATATATATGGGAATCTACATATATGGAATCTATATATATGGGAATCTACATATATGGAATCTATATATATGGGAATCTACATATATGGAATCTATATATATGGAAATATACATATATGGGAACCTATATATATGTGGAAATATACATATATGGGAACCTATATATATGGAAATATACATATATGGGAATATATATATGGAAATATACATATGGGAAAAATATATATATGGGAATATATATGGGAAAATATATATATATGGGAATATATATGGGAATATATATATGGGAATATATATATATGGGAATACATATATATGAGAATATATATATGGGAATACATATATATGGGAATATATATGGGAATATACATATGGCAGAATATATATATGGGAATATACATATGGGAATATATATATGGGAATATACATATATGGATATATATATATGGGAATATATATATTGGAATATATATATTGGAATATATATGGGAATCTATATATGGGAATATATATATATTGTAATATATATATGGAATATATAT
Source organism: Homo sapiens (assembly GCF_000001405.40). Taxonomy (NCBI): domain Eukaryota; kingdom Metazoa; phylum Chordata; class Mammalia; order Primates; family Hominidae; genus Homo; species Homo sapiens. Next base: position 86,859,809 of record NC_000003.12, on the reverse strand, counting down.
ATTGTAATATATATATGGGAATATATATATATTGTAATATATATATGGGAATATATATATATTGTAATATATATATGGGAATATATATATTGGAATATATATATATGGGAATATATATATTGGAATATATATATATTGGAATATATATATTTGGGAATATATATACATTTGGGAATATATATACATATGGGAATATATATTTATGGGAATATATATATGGGAATATGTATATGGGAATATATATATGGGAATATATATGGGAATATATATGGGAATATATATGGAAAAAATAATAAAAAACAACGAGAAAAATAGCACAGTTTAACAACTACATAGCATTTACATTCTATCAACTATTTTAATAATCTAGAGATGATTTAAAGTATATGAGAGGATGTGCATAGGTTCTATGCAAATGCTATGCCATTTAATATAAGAAACTTGAGTATCATGGATTTTGGTATCTGTGGAGGGTTCTAGAACCAATCCCTCATTCACATTGAGAGATGACTGACAGTATATGATTACTTAACAATATGTAAATGGCCTAAATTATCCAATCAAAATGCATACAGTGGTGGGATGAATAGATAAAGAAATCCAATTTTATACTACCTACAAGGGATTCACTTTAGCTTTAAGGACACACATAAGCTGAAAGCGAAGGTATAAAAAAAGATATTCCATGCAAATAGTAGTGAAAGGTAATGTGGCTATATGTATATCCTATACCTCAAAATAGACCGTAAGTCAAAAACTGACATGAGACAAAAAAGGTCATTATGTAATGATAAAGAAGTCAATTCATCAAGAAGATATAACAACTGTATATATATATGCACACAATATTGGAACACCTAAGTATATAAAGCAAATATTAATAGAACTGAAGGGAGAAATAGACAGCAATACAAAAATAGCAGGGGACTTCAACACCCCAATTTCAATAATAGACAGATGATCCATATAGAAAATAAATAGAAAAAAAGCAGACTTGAATAACACTATAGACCAAATGGACCTAACAGAAAAAAACACTATTTCACCCAAGAGAGCAGAATTCACATTCTTTTTAAGCACATACAGAACATGCTTCAGAACAAATTTTTTGTTGGGACAAAAAATAAATCTTAAGAGAATTAAAAATAATTAAATCATAATAAGTATCTTTTCTGACCACAGTAGTATAAAACTAGAAATCAATAACAGGAAGAAAATTGAAAAATTCACAAATATGTGGAAATTAAACAACACACTACTGAAGAACTGATGAATCAAAGAAGAAATGAAAGGAGAAGTCAACAATTATCTTGAGACAAGATAAAAGCATAATATACCCAGAATTATGAGATGCAGCAAATGCAATTCTGAGAGGGAAGTTAACAGCAATAAATGCCCACATTAAGAAAAGAGAAATGTCTCAAATAAACAACCCAACTTTATACCTTAAAGAACTAGAAAAAGAATAAACTAAGCCTAAAAATCAACAGAAGGAAAAGGATATTAAAAATCATACAATAAATAAATAAAACGCAAACTAGAAACACCAAAAATCAATAAAACTGGGGTGACTTTTGAAAAAGCAAATGAAATTGCCAAACGTTTAACAAGATTAATCAAGAAATAAAGAGGACTCAAATAAAATTACAAAAGAAAGAGGAGATATTACAACTGATACCATGTAAATAAATACAAAGGATCAGAAAAGACTACTGTGAACAATTATACACTAACAAATTGAGTAAACTAGAAGAAACAGATAATTTCTAAATCATATGACCTACTAGAATTGAATCATGACAAAATAGAAAAGTGAAAAAGACCAATCACGACAAGGAGATTGTATCAATCATCTAAAACCTTCCAATGAGGAAAAGCTAGGACCTGATGGGTTCATTGCCAAATTCTACAAAACACTTAAAGAAGAAATAATGTCACTATTTCTCAAACTCTTCCAAAAAATTGATAAGGTGGGAACATTTCCAAACTCATTTCACAGGACCAGCCTTACCCTGCTGCCAAAGCCAGACAAGGACACTGCAAAAAGAGAAAATTGCCTGGCAAAAACTCTGAAAAACGTAGATGGGGAAAACTAAAACAGTACTTTCAAACTAAATACAGTAGCACACTGAAAGGATCATACATCATGATCAAGTGGTATTTATTCGTGGGATGCAAGGATGATTTAACACACACAAATCAAAGAATATGATATACCACATTAGTAGAATGAAGAATAAAAATCATATGATCATGTCAATAGATGCAGGCAAAGCATTTGACAAAATTTAATATCCTTTCATGAAATAAGTTATCAACAAAATAGGTATAGAATAAATGTAACTTGACATATAATAAAATAACAAAAGGCTTATATGACAAACCAACAGCTAACATACTCAATCGTGACAAGCTGAGCACTTTTCCCTTAAAATCAGAACCCTAGTCCCTGCCACTTGTTTTTTTCTATTCTCACCCTGGCAATCTCACCTACTCATAGGGCTTATAGATTCATCAGTTCATTGATAAACACTAAATGTATACCTCTAGGCTTGGCAGTCTATCTTGTATCTCTGTTTACATGCCTGGAGGCACATAGGCACATAAAAACAAAATTCCACAAATGGAACTCAGCACCTCAAGTCCCTGTCACATCCCCTTCTCCTTCCTAAATCTAAATCTTATTTGAAATGAATTAAATCACCAACCATTTTATAACTGCTGCTAAGATAGGTAGTAATAAGTATTGACCGAACAGTTAGTACCCAAATGTAGACTACCAACATATGCCTTAGAGACACTTCTTGTTCTTTCCTGAACTTAATAGCTATTTTACTCTTGGAAGTGTCCTTTAGATATGCTAATATCAGCATTTCTATTCATATGGAATTACCATAGTCCAGAAGTTATTCTAACTCTTCACTGTGACTGTGTATGCAGCTAACTCTTGAAGGGAGCTCTTATTTTTATTGTCTTCAGGTTCTTGGGGTCATTCTTCCATCTCCTATATAAACTACCTATAGGTATTAGCTAACATTCTGGCAGGAAGAGAGTATCAGGTTTTTGGGTGAGAGGAGTAATAGAAGAGTTAGTGAAGGCCTTATCAGAGTTCAATTTTAAATATGAGAAGGAGTTTAGTATGCTGGCCAGAGAGAAAAAGCCTTCCGTGGGAAAACCACATCTGCAAAGACACAAGACAAAATAGCCTATTAGATCATCAGATGCATATGAACGAGTGCCTCTCAATAGGCTGGACGTGTAGTCAGAGATTCCTCGTTGCTTTCCTAACCCTGGATTTTATTCATTCTCCTGCGTACATAGAATAAGCCTTTGATATGGCCTTTATTAGCAATCACCTCCAATTTATAATTAACCGCCTCCATGGATTTTATCAGACATCTTGAACTTCTCTCTATTCTGTCCCTAAAGGAAGTTCATCTTTTTTTCCTGCCATAGTCAGTAAACACGACTGCCACATCTCGAGCAAGTGGTAGGCCAGAATAAGGTTAACTGCTAGATATCAGAGGGGCTAAAATATGCAGATCTTACGTTATCATTTTGGAACAGAAGACATTGAAGAGATTGAAAATTTAACACACATTGAGGAAGCGAATTGGGAAGCTTAGGTAACTGACTAAATGGTGCCGACATTAACTTCACGACACTGTTAAAAACATAGTAACATAGCTAACTTTAACCCCATGGGATTCTTACCGTAAGACAAATCTTAAAATAAATCTATGCTGAAAAATTAGATACTAGTAAGGATAAGAGAAGGTTACTTTTATAGACTCATTCCATTCAAGCTGCCAACAAGAGATAATACTCCATTTTCAGTTGATAAGAACTTCTGTAAGAAGGTTTAGACTTTTTCAGTTGATGTTATGACATATCATCTGTTTATTTTTTAATGTAGTTGAATACTATTAATATATTCCATTAAGGAGTCTGGGACAAAAACATGAGCCTTTTCCCCTGATTCCTGACAAACAGCCTAGGCAGTAGATCTCATCCTTGGTATTTAACCTATTTCTTGATTATGGACCTATAGGAATTGACTCATTCCTGGTTTAACAAATATAAAAAATAGTGAGACATCTGTTACTTAAACAAGAAAGATTTATGATTTTTGCCACTATGAAACTTGGTAGAGGAACTGTGCTGCATCAGGGACTGTGTTTGTTACCCATACTTGTCCAAGTAATCTCTTTTTTGACACTAATAAATTATTCTTCTGGGCTCCCTGCCCAACCTCAGGGGAATCAGAGACCCTGATCTACCACTGAGAAGATCAGTTGCCTTATGGACATAGCAGTTTTTTTCTGGATATCAGCTTTGTAGTTACAGTAAAATGAGCAGCTGCCACTGCAGTTGGTCCCTGGCCATTTACTCAACATTGTGATAGCATAATACAATCAACCAATGTTCAGTAATTGGAGCAATGGAAGAATGATGATCATATTTCATTTAAAAAACTAAAATATTTCAATTTTTTAAAGACCAATATATTTTGAAGTATGGGAAACATTTAATGGATTAGACTCAATAATGTTTATAGTTTCATCTACCTCTCAAATTCTGCAACTCATATGAATTATACTTTGACAAACTTTACAAAGACTCAATGTGAATGTGAAATACAGATGCATCTAGGAAGAGTGAATTTAAATAATTTGATCATTTAGTGGCTCACAAACATGTAGACATCTAAGTGCTGGGGGAATTGGAAACTATTGCAATGAACCTGAGGATTCTTTCTGTATACATTCCCCAGGCATTATCCACAGAGAAAATGAAATATCAGGACTATTGCTTTATAAATCTATGAAGATGGTTTTTATTAATGAATTCATTTAAATGATTTGAGACATAAATTCAGTAGCTTTTTATCTATAAACACAATCAAAATATTATAAAAATAGAAAATCTATTATTAATAATACAAAACATGCTAGAACAATATGAGAAAATACATCTAAAACTCTGAAACTTTTTATGGATGAAAGACTGCTAGAGATAGATATATTTAGTTCTCAAATAGGAAAAAATTGAAATTTGTCAGTTCTCCCTTACTTAACCTGTAAGTGCTATGCAATCAATTTCAATCAAATTCACCCAAGTGCTTTTTTTTAACACCTTGAATATTATGACATATTTAACATTATAAAAACAATGACTTGAAAGAACATCTGTAGGAATAAATATAAAAAATATTAAAATAATAGGAAAAACAAAAATATGAGGCCTAGTTCTATCAATAGTGAATGTGCTATAAAGTTTCATAAATTAAAAAGCAGTGTGGAAGTGACATAGGAATTGATTGAGAGACTGTATATTAGACTCAAGTGTAATGGAAATATAATACATTATAAAAATTATTTACAAAATTAGTAAAGATAAATTGGGGCATATGATAAATGGTGTTAAAAATAAATATGGACTTTTTTCATTGTTTACACCAAAACAAATACTAGATTTAAATGTAAAATATACAACCATGTAACTATCTGCAAGACTCCTGGGTAAATAATTTATAACTTTAGGGCAGGAAAGGGTCATTTAACCACAAATTAAACATGAATTAAAATAAGAAAACATTTAATATCTGCATATCTCAAAAATAAGGTAGAAAGACTACAAACCTACAGGTGCAACTATAAATTAAGAGTAATATCAAATATTAATACACTGTTATGAATTAATATAAAATATATCTTTTAAATTTCTATCAATAATAAGGAAAGAGTAGAATCATTGCCATTGGTAATGATTGCCTGAACTATCTTCACATTCCCAGGGACATATGATGCTTGTCTATATCAGGGTTATGACACCCTCATATATTTCATGAGCATGGAAGTATAGCTTATTTACATTTTTATTTCACCACAGTTAAAAAATAAAGTTCTTCAAGTCTAACATCATGCTCTTGTGATCTTTTCTTGTTATTTCTGTGTATTAAGATACCCATACATTCTCTACTTTGTGTGGAATCAGGCCTTAAATTTCTGATATAAACATGACAAGGATACGCTTTTGTGGAAATGCTGGCCTTCCTCACTGTCAGGTTTTTACTCTTCTGGGTCATTTTGACCCAATCTCTTGCAGTACAAGAGCTGGAGAGCCAGTCAGTAATTAGAAATGAACATCAACATCTATTGCTGATGAAACAGAGGTTGAATGCAACTGCAATATCGAAGCCACATAAATCTCCTTGGTTAGTCAACTTGTGCTTGCCCACCTAAGCCTAAGGAGATTGATATATGTTTTCTTGTCTTTTAACCCAGCACAGTTGATGTGATTTATCTGTAGGAGTTGCTTTAAAGAGTACATTTGATATCAAAAATCTAGAAAAAAATTTCAAATTTTTGAACAATCTCGAAGTTCTTAGGGCAGCATAATACAATTATTAGACTAAATGCTTGGAAATGGCCTGATTTATTGCTCATCCTAGGGCACATAAATGGCATATATGGTCTTTGGTAAACCAGAGACTGAATATCATAATCCAATACTGTATCAAACACAGCTAAAGAAGAAATTACCCAACTTTACCACCGCCCTTCCTCTGGGAATATTTTCCATGGATATGGGCTTATGTATCATTACATCTACCAGGTGGAAACTGAAAAAAAGAGAAAAACTGGTTAAAAAATTATTTTGTGTTCACAATGCCACACACCTGAATTAACTCCCACCAACTCCACTTCACCTAATGTGCTGACTCTTTCCTTAACAAAGAGATTAAACTGTCTGCTTATTGTTTATACACTCACGTGTCTTAAAGACACAGACAACTTTATTTCTCTACTAGAGAGAACTACCATTATCCTGCTCATACAAACAAGTCTAACTATTGAAGAGCATATATTATCCAAACACTTTCAAGCCCACTGTTTTTTACTTATGTAAAAAGTTTAAGCGAACTTGAAAATTTTAATTAGTTAGAGTGGTCACTGTGATATTGCATTTCTTCAAAGTCAATTCACAGAAGATGAAAAGGCCCTTGCTTAAGGTGGGACAATTATTTATTTCTTCTTAATGTAAAATAAACACATATAGCACTTACTAATAGCCAGGCACTCTTCTAAGCACTTTACAAATATTGCCTTATTTAATTCTTCTAACTACCCATGAAGATGGTTCTATTAATATTATTTTATAGCTGAGAAAATTAAGAAACAGAGATTAAGTGACTTGTCTGCAATAACCCAGCTTCTAATACATCAGATGAGGATTTAATCCTAAGCAGTCTGACTCTATTCTAAACCTCCTCTATACCTTAATTGCAAATTACCAAAAAAATATATATATACTAAAAATGTGACATTGAGCCTAAGAAACTGGGATGTTGTTTTATGTATTATTTTTTGTGAGTCCCATTGATTTCTGAGGATGTAGCATATAAAAAATCATAAAGATTAATTTTTATTAACCCATTACATTTTTATTATGCCATGCAAAATTATTTTTGCCAGCCTAATATATTCCTCAAACACCTGCAATGCAGGGCTGTTAACTAATCGCTGTTAAACAGAGCCTGAGTGCCGTCTACTGTTACTTGAAGGGAAAAAATCAATAAAAAGCAGTAATAGTCACATTTATTATGTGTGATGGTTAATTTTATGTGTCAGCTTGGAGGTGTTTTGGATGAGATCAACCTTTAAGTCAGTGAAATTTGAGTAAAACTTTATCCTTTATAATGTGGATGGGCCTTATTCAATCAGCTGATTGCCTGAGTAGGATAAAAAGACTAGCCTCTTTGAGCAAGAGAAAGTTCTCCAGCACACTGCGCTTAGACTTTATCTGCAACACTGAGTTTTGGGGTTTGCAGCCTGATAATCACACAGCAGATGTTGGATTCTGGAGCCTACATAATCACGTGGTCCAATTCCTTATATAGGCATACTCAGAGATATTGCGTATTTGGTTCCAGACTGCAACAATAAAGTGAATATCACAATAAAGTCAGTCATACAATTTCTCTTATTTCCCAGTGCATACAAAAATTAATGTTTACACTATACTGTAGTATATTGTGTGTAATAGCATTGTGTCTAAAAAGGCAATCTACATACTTTAATTTAAAAACTCTAAAAGATGCTAACCATCATCTGAGCCTTCAGTGAGTTGTGATCCTTTTGCTGGTGGAGGGTCTTGCTTTAATATTGATGGCTGCTGACTGATCAAGGTGATGGTTGCTGAAGGTTGGGTGCCTGTAGCAATTTCTAAAGATAAGACAATTGTGAAGTATGCCACATTGACTGACTCTTCCTTTCCCAAATGATTTCTTTGTAGTATGTATGTAATGCAGTTTGATAGCATTTTACCCACAGTAAAACTTCTTTCCAAATTGGAGTCAATCCTGTCAAACCCAGTCACAGCATTTTAGTTCCATTTCAGGCTCTGCTCCTAATTCAGTTATCTTGCTATTTCCACCATATCTGCAGTTACTTCCTCCACTGAAGTCTTGAACCCCTCAAAGTCATCTATGAGGGTTGGAATAAACTTTTTTCAAACTCCTGTAAATGTTGATATTTTTGATCTCCTCCCATTAATCACAGATATTCTTAATGGTTTCAGCAATTGTGAATTCATTCCAGAAGGTTTGTAATTTATTTTGTGCAAATCCATTACGGCAATCACCGTCTATGGCAATTATAGCTTAACAAAATAACAAATAAATAATAAGACCTGAAAGTCCAAATTACTCCTTGATTCATAAGCTGCAGAAAGGATGCTATGTTAGCAGGCATTCAAACATTAATCTTTTTTTACATCTCATCAGAGATCTTGGGTGACTAGGTGTGTTATCAATGCATACTAATATTTTGAAAAGAATTTTTTTTTCTGAGTAGTAGATCTCAACTGTGGGCTTAAAATATTCAGTAGACCATGCTATAAACAGGTATACTGTCATACAACCTTTGTTGTTTCATTTATAGATGACAGGCAGAGTAAATTTAGCATAATTCTTAAGGGCCTCATGACTTTCAGAATGGCAAATGAGCATCACCTTCAACTTAAAGTTCCCAGCTGCATTAGCCCCTAACAAGAGAGTCAGCCTGTCTTTCAAAGCTTTGAAGCCAGGCATCAACTTTTCCTTTCTAGCTATTAAAGTCCTAGATGGCATCTTCTTCCAACAGAAGGCTATTTCATCTACACTGGGACTCTTTTGCTAATGTAGTCACCTTTGTCAATGATCTTAGCTAGATCTTCTGGATAACTGGCTGCAGCTTTTCATCAGCACTTGTGGCTTCGTTTTGCACTTTTAAGTTCTGGAGATGGCTTGTTTCCTTAAATCTCATGAATCAACTGCTAGCTTCAAACTTTTCTTCTGCAGTTTCCTCACCTCTCTCAGACTACACGGAATTGAAAAGAGTTAGGACTTTGCTCTGAATTAGGCTTTGGCTCAAGAGAATGTTGTGGCTGCACTGATCTATTCAAATCACTACAACTTTCTCCATATCAGCAATAAGGCTTTTTTGCTTTCTTCTCACTCATGTTTATCACTTTTAATTTCCTTGAAAAACTTTTCCTTTATATTTACAACTTGGCCCACTGTTTGCTAAAAGAGGCCTAACTTTTGGCTTGTCTCTGCTTTTGACATACTTCCTCATTAAGCTTAATCATTTCTGGCTTTTTATTTAAAGTGAGAGTTGTGTGATTCTTCAACATTTAGAGCTCATTGTTGGCCTAATTCCAATATTGTGTGTCACAGGGAATAGCGAGGCCCAAGGAGAGGGAGAGAGACAGAGCAATGGACAGTTGATGGAGCAGTCCAAACATACATATTTATTCCTTAGGTTTGCCCTCTTGTATGGTGGTGGTTTGTGGTACCCCCAAACAATTATAATAGTAACATTAAAGGTCATTGTTCACAGATCACCATAAAAGATGTCTTTGTTTTGTGTTGCTATAAAAGAATACCTAAAGTTGGGTCATTTATGAAGGAAAGAGTTTTATTTGGCTCATGGTTCTGCAGGCTGTACGAGAAGCATGGCACCAGCATCTCCTTCTGGTGAAGACCTCAGAAAACTTCCAATCATGACAGAAAACAAAGGGAGAGCAGGTGTGTCACATGGTGAGAGAGGGAGCAAAAGCGTAGGGGTGCCACACCTTTTTAGACAACCAGCTGTTATGTGAAATAATAGAGTGAGAACTCACTCATTAAGGCCTCAAGCCATTCAGGAAGGATCTGTGCCCATGACCCAAACACCTCCTTCTAGGCCACATCTCCAACACTAGGGATCCAAGTTCAATGGGAGATTTGGAGGGGACAAATATCCAAACTATATTAACAGATATAATAATAATAATGAGAAATTTTGAAATATTGCAAAAATTACCAAAATATGACACAGAGACATGAAGTGAGAAAATGCTATTGAAAAAATTGTGCTGATATACTAGCTTGATGTTGAGTGGCCACAAATCTTCAATTTGTTAGACATGCAATATCTGCAATAAGTAAGATATGTCAATGCTAAATTGTCAATCTCTGTCTCTCTCTGACTACACACATACACACACACACGTACATACACACATGCATATATGCTGTTAGTTCTGTTTCTTCAGATAATCCTGTCTAATATTAATACATTGTGCTTATTGTAATTTGGTAGGAATTTTTTAAAGTATACCTAAAGGAAACCCAAAATTATCCTCCAAAAAGAAACACTCAAATAAATGTAATAATGGCATTATTCTGTTCTACTCATTTCACTCTTTATTGAAGGATTTGCATAATAGATACTGAAGATCAACAGAAGTGTAGTTCTTTAAATAGAATGGAGACCATGTGAGAACAATGTAAAAATTTGTTTAAGCCAGTTGGATGTGAAGAGATATCCTTAATCAAATGGAGAATTGTGATTGTAGGGGAATGTGAATTGCATCACGACTGGGGGGAAGTGATGTAATTCAGATTGTAATTTATGGAAATGCTTCTCCCTAAACTGCCATACAGCTTCCACAATATGCAGGGCCATATTGGTTGAATTATAACCAGAAAATAGTGTGTGCCCAGCTTTGAAGCTATGAGAATGGAAAAAAAACATTAAAATTGAGAAAATGTTGTAAAGAAAGAACTGGTCTGATGTTTTGAATGTGGGAACTAGAGAGTTGAGGATTCAAAGAATAATATTTAGCTTATGGGTCCGAAGAACATAGAGTTTGGAGTTTGAACTTATAAAAAAATGCAACTTGGTTTTGAGACTCCCTAACAATTTCCTGAAGGAACTATAATTGATTTTTTGAAATGAATGGAATGGTTTACATGTACTTGAGGCAGACCATAGTCCATTCTGCAATAATAAGTAGGTTGTCAGATTTATTATTGTTTATAAGTGAGAAAATATTACTAGGAACAAATGCTTAGATTTCCCAACTTTTTAATGTTGACATTTCAAGTTGTAAACCACAGTAAGCAAATATTAATTTTATACTTTCACAACCAAGTATCCATTTTCATGTTTTATAATTTTATTATGGTAACTGCTTTTTAGGTTTGGTTAATGGGAATCCACTGCTATGTTAACTTGAGGATTTACTAAGTTTGATTTTTAAAAGGGAAGTTTAAGTATAAAAAGACATATAGTTAAAAATTGATGGTAACGATCTTCAGCAAATTCTTAGTCCTCCATTGTGGATGGATTTACTATTTAAAATTAAAGTATACTTTGCTCTAAGTTATTGAGGCAATATACAGATGTATGTAGGATTTCTTCCAGAGGCTTATTCAGAAGAATACAGTAATCCAGAATATATTTATTCACCTTGCTTCCTGGAAATTCTGGCACTGACAGTATTAAAAATTCTACTTCCCTGCTCTATAGCTATGGGAGCAGTGTGTTAGCAGACACTAACATTGGCAATAATATTTCAATTAGATAGTAGATTGAGTGTGGCATTGTCAATTGTCACATTGTCTATGGCATTGTTCAGGACCCAAGAAAACTATCTTTAGTGTTATTTCTTTATCCCCTCCTTCTCTCACCAAAACATTCTTTGTGATTGTGGAAATGAAGCTGATGCAAAGGTTTGACTCCAAGCTGACTTCATGATCCAGACCATCATATGGTGTTGGTTTAAGAACATATACTCTGGACTCAAACTGATATTATGGTCTGCTGTTGACTATCTATGTTAACTTCTGCAAGTGACTTCATTTTATTATGTTTCTGTTTTCTTATCTCTACAATGGCTGAAACCATAATGCCTACCATGTAGGATTTTTCCAAAGATTATATCAGCACCTTATTCTTAGAAAGAAAAGCCAGAATCAAGATTTAAGGAGCTAACCCTTTATTTTGGTATTTCTAGCCAGGGTGGTAAGAGAGAAAGGAAAAGGAAACTGAGGTAACAAAAGAGATAAAATTATGTGATATTTATCAACCTGGGCACGATTTCACAGCAAGCCACCTAGATACAAAAGACCTCTTGGCAAGCATGTTCTCTCTGTACATGACAATACCTGGAAGGATTGGAATAAGAAATAGCCAGGAAAGGGAGAAGGAAGAGGGACGTTATCTTCATGACTCAATCTCTTATTGGTCAAGGTTCACTCCGATGCAGTAATAGCTCTCTTGCAGATCCATGTGGCCATCCAGGCTTTGGTCTTTTCTTAAGAAACCTTGCAGAGAGGTTCCAGAATCTGACAGTGAATAGAAGACCCAGTGCAGTAGGGCTCTGACAGCAAGAACAGGCCATCAGGGAAATCTGAAAATGTGCTCAAGGTTCTTAACACAATGAATTAATATTTGTAGAGCACTTTAAAGAGTCCCTGATGAAGGTAATAATATGTGTATTAGCTGTTATTAATCTGAAACATTCTGAGGAGAATGTAAAACAAGAATGAGACTTGTAATTAGAGGATTCCTTTTGATAGTGATTCTAATGAAATTCTAATTGTCCCAAGGTTGTCTCCGTTGTCATAGGTTAAACTGAGACATAATTACAGCTCCATTTTACAGATTAGAAACACAAAGAAGGAGCTAGAAATGATCAAATTTATCAAGTTTTTTTTTTGTTTTTTGTTTTTTTTTTTTAGAGTAAATTCAGATCAGGCTCCTCTCTAATTTGGATGATGGTCAATGCAAGGAGGGGTGCTGACCATAGTGGGAAGTAAAATAATTCAGCCAGTTTTGGAGTGAATGCCAGAGTAATAAATGGGAAACAGTATTTGCCTTTCTCTCCTTGAGTTTCCATTTAGTAGCATTTCTTTATGGCTCTAAGGCTTTGAATTGCTGGAATGCGTTACTAAAAAAGACTAGAGTCATGGAATATGTCATATGAGGTCAAATAGCTATAACTTTTTGGGAGACAGGCATAGAAAGTTTCTGGCAAATGCAATTCTGTCTGGCATCACAAAGATGAACAAGATCTCAACCCTGATGGTAAGAATCATCTGGTGAAAGCTATTGGGTGCTTCGAGGACAAAATATAAGTAAAAACACAAATATAAAAACATAAAAATTATCTATGTCCATCCATGACATCTCTCTTCTTTTCCATATCCATCCTACATTCTGGGTCTCAAGTAAAAAAATTCCTTAAGTCTTTTAGCAAACTATTACATTACAGTAGTATCAAAGTCATCAGTATGTCAGATACTGACATCTGTAAATACACAATACAATTTCAAACGTACTATGTAAATCTAAAAGCCGACATAAGAAAATTCATTTTCTATCTTTTGAACTGCTTTTCCAGAAAAAAAAAATGCAGTTTTATTACATTCTAATTAATATCACTAATATGGAACGGGACCAAATGTGTTGGGCCTCTCTGTTTGCATGTTAAGTGAGATTCCCTCCTTGAAGAAATTTTTGCATTGTCAAGGGATTAAACAGGCAGCTGTCAGGCTGTTCCCATGCAGACCATAGAATTCGCCCCTTCTTCTTCATGTCTGATGGAGATTTATGCCAGATGCTCCGAAGAAAGGACTGGATTTCAAAATCATACAGGCAGCATAGAGGGAGGGAGGGTAACAGAATAAAAAGTGGATCACTTCAGCGTTCCAAAAGACTTGATAGCCTAGAAACCTGTGTTGTTAACATTAATTATCTAACACACATGACAGAGCTACCATCAAATTAAAGACTCAGAATCCTTGTTTGGTCAGAATGGTTTTTCTCGTGGTCAAATTGATTGATTTTGAAATGCTTGCTACAAAAACATCAAATTTTTTTTATTGCTTTGCTGAAATAAACATAGATGTGATTACCAAGAAATGGTCACTGCTTAACGTTGAGATTTTCTACTCTGAATGTGTAAATCCTGTGTATGTGCGTGCGTGTGTGTGTGTTTTAAACATGGATAATGAGTTCTGGAAAACTGGTGTGAAGAATTTTTCAGTTTTCACTGTTGCTTTTTGCTTTCGAAATCTGAGATAATTATCATATTTCTGTTTTTAAGCAAGCAATAGTAAGTGAATAAGATTTGATCAAGGATGAGTTTTACTGTTTCAAATCTGTTACTTCATTATTCATATGTGGATCAGTTTAAAAAAATATGATCCTAAAAGTCTTAACGTTTTTTTATTTTGTAGCGATACTTTTTGGAACATTTTATTAACTTTATCCAGTCTAGATCTACTTTTCCTAAAACTATACAACTTTTTCTTCACATTACAAGATCCTAGGGTTGAAGGTAAAAATAAAGCTTAATGTTTACCACAGTAAAGGTCAGAAAATATGTATCTCTAAAGAACAAGTTCATAAATATTGTAGAAATGCATTAGTAAATTTACAGAGTATTAATAGAAGCATTGAAAAATAGGGGGCAGTTCCAAGATGGCAAAATAGGAACAGCTCCAGTCTACAGCTCCCAGTGTGAGCAATGCAGAAGACGGGTGATTTCTGCATTTCCAACTGAGGCACCGGGTTCATCTCACTGGGGCTTGTCGGACAGTGTGGGCAGGAAAATGGGTACAGCCCACCAAGCGTTAGCCGAAGGAGGGCGAGGCATCGCCTCACCTGGGAAGCACAAGGGGTCACTGCTGAAAAGCTGGCAAATCTCTATTTATATTAAAGAAGAGAATTGTTGGATTGCTACTTCTATACCAACTCTCTTGACATGTATTTATCTTTTTATTTATATTGTTTTTACACATTTGATATAACACAAAAAACACTGTAAGTATATTTTTCAGCAAGACACTTAGTTATTGAAATACATTTATAGCATGATTAACTCTTAAAGTTACTCTCTCAAATCTCATTGTAGTTTTATTTTATTTTTTGATTTTTCACTCTACAGAGAAATAAAGCACATACTTTTCAAATCTACTATTAGAAAATGATGCTGGAATAGGTGCAGTCCTAAGTATTGGATGTAAATACTAAATCATCTCCAACCAAAATCTATCTATCTATCCATCCTCATATTCATATTTATATATGCAATCTTGTGTTCCTATGTGAAAAAAAATTAAGCTATGATAGGCATTAAATTTTTCACTAAGAATTTAAGTTCTCCTTCTGGGGATATAGGAACTTTTTCCCTTAAAATTAGACATGACCAAATGAGTTGTCTTGACCAAGGTAAGCAGAAGCATTTAAGAGCTGGGGTACGGTTTACCTTACTTCTCTTCTGGACAATGCAGGCTGGATTTCTGAATAAAGATAAGATAGAAAAAGGCCTTCCCCAATTTTTGATGGACACTTGGTATTAACAATAACTGCCCCCAAATCTTTTTTGTTTAAACCACTAAAATTTAGGGGGTTATTTATTACCACAGCTTAATCTAGCCTATCCTGGTTGGCTCAATCTCTTTGTCTTTATCTCTATCTCTTTCTGTCTCTGCTTTTCTCTTTCTCTCTTTTTTTTTTTTTACCCAAATACTTAAGTATTTGGGTAAAAAAAAAAAAAAGCATAAGTAGTACAGTGTTGTCAACCTTCTTTTTGAAATTAACCATGTAAGATGGAACCAAAAGATGACAGCTAATTAAATTCCAGTTAGAAAGGAAAGAGTTGATCCTTTTTCTCTATATATGTTTTCCATTTTTTTTCCCTCAAGTACTCTATCTTGGAACTTCCTCCTCTCTAAGCCAATCAGCACCTGATCAGTGCCGACCTTCTAATGCTTTTTACCAGTTTATTTATGTAGAGACAGACCATGAGAACCAGATCAAGGGAGAGGCACACAAGGAATAATAATCAGAAATAAATTGGTATAGAGAAAAACTGAAAATCTGAAATGGCTTTAGTCAGTGTTGTTAGAGTGATATCACTTCTACCAACAAGTAATAAAAAGGAATCAATAAATTATTTCTAATTTGTTACCTTATGTCAAAATTTATAGCCCAGTCTATGTACAAGATGATACATTTTCTCTCTTCTCAACATTGAAATTTATCAGAAAAAAAAATCTTACCCTGAAAGCCTAAAATCACCAAATATCAAGCGTAGAGGGAAGGAGAAAAAGGAATACTTCAAAATGCCTTCAGTATCAATTTAATAATCTTGCATAAATGGTATGCTAGTTCAATACTAAACATAATAATAGATAGTTCAATAATAAATGATTACTGCTTATTTTTGGTTGTTCTTGTCTTAATTACAATTCCACTTTTGAAAAATTAGATTACATTAATTTATGTTTGTTCAGAGTCACACTCTGAGAAAGATATCTTGTATATCTTCATCAACTTTTCCAGGGCAAAATATTTTTAATAGTGGTTGACTAAGAAAACCAATCACTGGGCTGGGCGCGGTGGCTCACGCCTGTAATCCCAGCACTTTGGGAGGCCGAGGCGGGCGGATCACGAGGTCAGGAGATTGAGACCATCCTGGCTAACACGGTGAAACCCCGTCTCTACTAAAAATAAAAAAAAAATTAGCCGGGTGTGGTGGCGGGCGCCTGTAGTCCGAGCTACTCAGGAGGCTGACGCAGGAGAATGGTGTGAATCAGGGAGGCTGAGCTTGCAGTGAGCCGAGATGGCGCCCCTGCACTCCAGCCTGGGTGACAGAGTGAGACTCCGTTTCAAAAAAAAAAAAAAGAAAAGAAAACGAAAACCAATCATTGACCTGAAAATTGTGTAATTGAATTTAAAAATTAATCTCAGGTACAGATACCTATTTAGATTTAAATGTTGTTTGATATTTTATGTCCACAAAGCAAATACTTAATGAGTCCTAAAATGCATCTCTAGAAAGCTTTAGAAAATAAAGCTTAACTTTGCAGTCTAAACCACTATTGAATTAATCTTATTTATTTGTTATATAGATTTCAAAGGATCAGAAAATAGGACTCAGGCTGGGTGCAGTGGCTCCCGCCTATAATCGCAACACTTAGCAAGGCCGAGGTGGACGATCACCTGAGGTCAGGAGTTGGAGACCAGCCTGGCCAACATGGTGAAACCCCGTCTCTACTAAAAATATAAAAATTAGCTAGGCGTGGTGTTGGGCGCCTGTAATCCCAGCTACTCGAGAAGCTGAGAAGGGAGAATTGCTTGAACCCAGGAGGCAGAGGTTGCAGTGAGCCGAGATTATGCCATTGCACTCTAACCTGGGCGACAAGAATGAAACTCTGTCTCAAGAAAAAAAAAAAAAAAAAAAAAAGGAAGAAGAGAAAAAGAAAGAAAATGGGCTTCAATTGGAAACTACCCTGAGGTTTATTTAACGATTCTCAATAGCTAGTAATATTTATCAAAGGGAAAAATAGGTTTTTTAATTATCAAATTTGAAGTATAACTTTCTAGATCTTTTCAAAGTTGATTAAAAGGAACTGACTGGAAATAAATCCAAAATAGCCTGTGCTCATTAAACAACAACAACAACAAACAGAATAAAACCAAACCCAGAGACGTTTTGTATGTTCTGTACCTAGGGGAAGTCCATTTGCATTAAAAGTCAAATGTATATTTATTTATTATATTGTGAAGTGAGGATGGAGTTAGAGCTAAAATTTAAACTTTCTGTTCTCATATCTGGTCTGAATTCAAACCCTTCTCAAACCTAATGGTTGATTGTCATCTCATAAGATATAGACAGGCTTGAGAATTTTTTGTAATGAGTGATGTCAAATCAATAATTGTGGTAGTTTAAATGGGTATGTGGAATGGAGTTACGAAAGAAGCATTAATAATTTATAATTCATCCAGGCTGCCCCTAAAATTATTTGAATGGATCATATTTTGTGGGGGGTTATTCTGATGGGCACCCCGAGGATTGAAAACATATTTTGGTATAATTCCCATTATATTAATATGGTATTCTCAGATATTAATTTGATATTATTCCCGTTAATAGCATCAGTAGTGAGATGGTCAGTGACAAACATGAATTTCAAATGCAAAAATGTTTGAAGGAGTATATATTGTTTCATGTTTCTTCAATAGTTGTTTTTGTTATTGTAGTTACTTTGTAATCCAAGTGACTCTAAAAACAACTAGGTCCCCAAATAAACTTGAGTCAAAATGGATGATGTAACATAAAGATGTCTGTGGATTTTGCTATAGAACTCTTTTGTTAGGTCATACACTGGTAATTGAGAACACTGTGCAAACGGTAGGGAAAATACAGCTTTAATTTTCTTGTTTGAGTGAAAAGAGATCTTCTCCTCACCCTCTCCCCACTCTTGTCGTGCTTTTATTTTCTGTTTAATTGGTCTTCATTTCCAGATCTACTAAATGACATAACAATTTTAATTACTAGGTTCTGAAAATGTTTTCTGAAAAGAAATTTATATTATCTTCAGTGTTGTAGCACATTGTAATCATTTAGAAACATCTGCTGCCTGCTGCAGGAGTGCTCAGAGTGTCAAGGTATACTACCCATTTAGACCTGAAGGTCACGGACTATAGGTCACAGAGTTCCTGTCATCAGGGAGTCACTTGTTTTTCTTTTGTTCTGCTCACATTTCATTTTACCCCTTCTCACTTTTTCTCCTTGAAAGAGTGGAGATATATTATAGGTCCAATTTTTATCGGCAAAAATGACTTTATTGGAACATTTATTTTTAAGCTGTGTGTTGTTTGTTGCTTCTTTTTCTAATTTATTTCCAGACATTCTTTTTATGAAATTGGTACCCTCATAGGTAAAATTGTTATTATGCATGTGTGAATTTAAGATTTGTAATGATTCAGCTTTATAGGTTATAGAAATATCTCTTTGCATTACTTACCTTGAATGATATAAGGGTCATAGAATTGATTGCAACTAAGAGTAATTTAATTTTTAAAAGTGTGTATAACAATTTTAAAATAATTTAAATTATTGTAAATATAAAATAATAAAAAGATATTAGAAAATTATTTATGTGTCTCCCAGAAAACAGACTCTGAGAAGGAGTTGAGCCTGCAGGATATTTATTAAGAAGCAATTCTGGGACCAACATCTGTGGAAGGGAGACGATGGAAACAGAATTGGGCAGAGAAGGAAGCCAAGCAGAAATGCAGCCCTAACACATTTTCAGCTGACCCCGCAGGGTTTTCTGGAGCTTGACTTTTATATTCCGACATTTATCAGTCATGGAGTAATGTGGGTCACTTGGGAGTAGGAAGGTGTCTTAGTCCGTTATGTGTTGCTATAAAGGAATACCTGAGGCTGGGAAATTTATAAAGAAAAAGGCCTTACTTGGCTCATAATTCCACAGGCTGTACAAGAAACAAGGCACTGGCATCTTCTTGGCATTTGGTGAGGGCTCTTGGGGTAAGTGAAAACATGAAAGAGAAGGTCAAAGGGGAAGTGACCATGTGTGAAAGTGGGCCAAATAGGAGGACAAACCTCACTTTATAACTACCCATAGTCATGGGAACTAATTTATTCCCTCAATACCTAATCCTATCTCACCGGAACCAGAACAAAAATCACTCACTACTCAGTAAATAGAACCTTTCATTAAAGATCCACCACCATAACCCGAACACCCACCACTAGGTGAAACACTACCATATGAGAGGTCAAACATAAGATTTGGAAAGAACAAACATCCAAACCACAGCAGAAAGTCCCCTTGAGCAGCAGAACTCTGCATCTGAGGCAATCAAGAAGAGCAGTATGAAGACCATTGGTACACCTTCAGCAGCTGGGGTAACAAGTCCTTTAGTGAGGGCCTATCTGGGTGCTATATCACTGGATATGTACATACGTGCTTCATATAGTAGCAATGTATGCATGTATGTTTATATGCATGTATGTTTATGTTTCTGAGGGATGTGAATAAAGATGGCCCAATACTATTTAAACTTTTTCCAAAACTTTATTATTTCTTTATTGTATTCTCAGAGCCTCTTTAATATTCTATATTGGTAGATTACTAAATATGATTTATTATTTTGACTTTTATACAGTTAGAAAAGTAATAATGATCACATGGGAAATGAAATCTCAATCTAAGCTTGGAAAAAAAAATATTTTAAATGAGGAAGACAAACTATAACTTAAACCAGAACTATGTGTAAACAATTTCACTAAGGATTTATTTTATTTAGTTCAAATAATCTTGCCTATTGGGTAAACATTAAACAACATTGCCATTGGCTGGTGCCATGGTCTAAATGTTTGTGTTCCCCCCACTCCAGCAAATTCATATGTTAAAACCTAATCACCAGTGCAATAATATTACAAGATGTGTCCTTTGAGAGGTGATTAAATCATGAGGACAGAACCCTCATGAATGAGATTATTGACCTTATAATAAAAGAGGCCTCAGAAAGCTGCTTTGCCCTTCCCACCATGTAGGAACACAACCGGAAGGTACCATTTATGACGTGGAAAGCACTCATCAGACCCTGAATCTCACAGAGCCTTGATCTTGAACTTTCCTGTTTCCAAAAACTAAGTGGCTTAGTTTTTGATTTTGTGATAGCAGCTTGAATGGACTAATATAATGGAAAATATAAACAGAAGGCAATAGTTACTGTTAAAAATCAAGATGATAATTAAAATTTTGATCTAATAACAAATACATGTGCTATTTCTATATTCCCAATATTTTTGGCAGGACAATGTAGGGAGAGATTGAATGAGAAAAAAATAAAATGTAATTTTATACTTATTTTAGTCTTCGAGTCAAAATAATATTTAGATTGCCATTCTAACTGGTGTGAAATGGTATCTCATTGTGGTTTTGATTTGCATTTCTCTGATAGCCAGTGATGATGAGCATTTTTTCATGTGTCTTTTGGCTGCATAAATATCTTCTTTTGAGAAGTGTCTGTTCATATCCTTCGCTTACTTGTTGATGGGGTTGTTTGTTTTTTTCTTGTAAATTTGTTTGAGTTCATTGTAGATTTTGGATATTAGCCCTTTGTCAGATGAGTAGATTGCATGGAATACTATGCAGCCATAAAAAATGATGAGTTCATGTCCTTCGTAGGGACATGGATGAAGCTGGAAACCATCATTCTCAGCAAACTATTGCAAAGACAAAAAACCAAACACCACATGTTCTCACTCAGGTAGGAACTGAACAATGAGAACGCATGGACACAGGAAGGGGAACATCACACACTGGAGACTGTTGTGGGGTGGGGGGAGGGGGGAGGGATAGCATTAGGAGATATACCTAATGTTAAATGAGGAGTTAATGGGTGCAGCACACCAACATGGCACATGTATACATATGTAACTAACCTGCACGTTGTGCACATGTACCCTAAAACTTAAAGTATAATAAATAATAATAATAATAATATTTAGAATAAGGGACTTACAGACACAAATCAAGTAATGGTGGGTGGAAAGAGGAATATAATACCAAGCTGTATTTCAAAATGTTTCATCTGAGTCATCCTTTCCCAACTCTGAGCTCTATGGGGGAGAGGTAATATGAACAAAAGAACAAAAAAGGAAATGGAACAAGAGTCTAGAAAAGATTTAAAAATGAAAAGAGACCTAAAAGAGGAAAACTGTTAATGAAAGTAAGAGGTGAGGAAAATGGAAGACCAAGGGAGAAATGAGAAAACACACCAGGAAATGATCCTGTGACTTTTTAGTCTTTGAAGCTGTCTTATGCAAACACAAATTCTTCTACCAGAAAGCACTCTGGTAACTAATCCAACCTTTCACTTATCCTATTCGTGAATGGAAAGATGAGATATCTGGAAGGAGAGTATGATTTTTTAAAATGTTGAAATGTTGAAACTTAGATCTAACTGTGCGCATATTAGATTTTTCTATTGTTTTGATATAACACAAATCTCTGCCTCTAAGTTTAATTTAGAAGTAAATTACAGGTTAAATAATGGAAATATCTGTACTTTGAACTGTCAAATAACTTTCACTGTTGACTTTAAACCTAAGTATAAAAACTACACTGTGAGACTCAAATTTCATGCTTAGCATCTTCATTAAAAATACTTCTTCGATCATTGCTGAGTGTATGATTTCTGGAGAATGACATTACCTGTGATAGAATCAAAATTCTTGATATCCTGCTGAGTGAATTGTGATCCAGATATTTAATTTTAATTATGTAAACTTCAGTTTCTTCCTCTATTTAATAGTCAATATAATCTTCTATCATATTGTTATTTTGATAATTAAATTGGATGATAATTTTAAAGCATTTAGCATATCTGGTTAATTCATTTTAGCAGATGCAATTATTACAGTAAATATTTTAAAATAAATTTAAACATCTGAAATGAAACGTTTAATAAATTTATTGATTCCAGCTCCTGCCAATATTATCTATTCATTCTCAATGCCGGTCAGTAAAATGTTGCCCTCAAGACATATGCCAACTTGTCATTGTGCTAATAATTCTAAAGGCGGTTTCAATATCTGACATTTGGGGATACTGCCTCTCAAGGCAGACTTTACAACTTCACTAGAAAGAAAAAGCTACTGATGATTGTAACTCAATAAGTTTAATTTTTAAGGAAAGGCTCTCTGGAAAAGCATGCAAAAAGCTCCAGTGAAAAAAATATGTATTGGCCATGGTAAATTGTATTTGGGATAAAAATATAGACCCAGTGGATGGTGGAGGCTTCTTCCAGAGATAGTGCAGCCTAAATAGAGCACCTAAGCCTAGAGGTCAGACGTAGGCCTCCAAAAAGGCCTTGGAATACCTCACTTAATGATTTTTGGAAGTGATATTTCATGCTTCAAAATAATATATGCTAACAAGGGCATAAAACATTTCAAATTTCACTCTAAATGTTGCTTTTTCTCCATATAGGGGAACAGTACATACTTGAATTGGGTTGGTTTAATGTCACGCTTATGTTAAACATGTAAATTTTAAATCCACAGATGTATGGAAACTACATTTTTTCTTTTATAAGAATTTTCAAGGGCAATGATTTAATCTTTGCCAATATAACTTAAAAAAGAAAGTATATATACCTATAAAAATTGTACTCTTCTCAAGGCAGGAATTTACCTATCTTCATTACATTGAAGTAAAAGTCGTGATAATCAAATTAAATGTGTGATAGTGCCATTAAATTTTGAGTTTCTTTATGAAGTCAGATCTTTCTTCTCTTGTTTAATTAAATCTTAATTATTACCTCTTGATTTTTTCATCCAACATCTATTTCTTAAATACCTGATGCATTTTAGGTGCCACTCTAGGCTCTAAGAGGTATTAACTAATAGAATGAATAAAAATTTATGACACCTTTTTTAAAAGAACATACACTCCTACATAAGTATGAATTTATTTTGACATAGGCACTTTTCTACTCAAGTAAAATATAGACAACCTAAAATTTATCGTTTTGACAATTTTTAAGTGTGAACACACTCACATTGTTGTGCAACGATCACTGCCATCCATCTCCAGAACTTTCTTTTTTCATCTTCCTCAACTGAAACTGTGTACTCATTGAACACTGAAACTCCCCACTCCCACCTCTCATCAGCCTCTGGCAACCACCATTCTACTTTCTATCTCTTGGATTTTGACTACTGTAAGTACTTCATAAAAGTGGAATAATATAGTATCTGGTTTTATTTATTTATTTATTTTTGTGACTGGCTTATTTCACATAGCATAACATCCTCAATACTCATTTGTATTGTAGCATTTACCAAAATTCCTTTCCATTTTTCTCTTTCTTTCTTTCTTTTTTTTTTTTTTTTGTGAGATGGAGTCTCGTTCTGTTGCCCGGGCTAGAGTAAAATGGCATGATCTCGGCTCACTGCAACCTCTGCCTCCCAGGTTCAAGTGATTCTCCTGCCTTAGCCTCCTGAGTAGCTGGGATTACAGGCACTCGCCACCACGCCCAGCTAATTTTTGTATTTTCAGTAGAGACAGGGTTACACCAGGTTGGCCAGGCCAGTCTCTAACTCCTGACCTCAGATGATCCACCCACCTTGGCCTCTCAAAGAATTTCTTTCCATTTTAAGACTAAATAATATTTTACTGTGTGTATGACATGATGTGCCCTTTACATTCTCCTGGCTGCCTTTTTTTCAGAAAATTTTACATTTTAAAGTTTCTGCCATCATTATTTTATTTAAAGAATAAACTGCTTTAGAAGAGTTTTAGATTTACAGGAAAGTTGCAAAGGTAGTGCAGACAGGTTTCGTTGTTTGATGTGGTTGTTGTTGTTTTGAGACAGAGTCTTGCTGTGTCTCCCAGGCTGGAGTGCTGTGGCATGATCTCGGCTCACTGCAACCTCCCCATCTCTGATTCAAGCCATTCTCACGCCTCAGCCTCCTGCGTAGCTGGGATTATAGGCACACCCCACGATGCCTAGCTAATTTTTTGTATTTTTTATAGAGATGGAGTTTCACCATGTTGGCTAGGCTGGTCTCAAACTCCTGACCTCAAGCAATCCACCTTCCTCAGCCTCCCAAAGTGCTGAGATTACAGGAATGAGCCACCATGCCCAGACTATGGAGAGCTTTTATACTCACCACAGTCAGCTTTCTCTTTTGTCAACATCTTACATCAGCATGCTTCATTTGTTCATGGTTCAACTAATAAACTGACATTAATACATTATTATTAACTAAAGTCTATATTTTATTTTGATTTCCTTAGCATTTACCTAATTTCTTTTTCTATTCTAGGGTTCCACCTAGGATGCCACTTTGCATTGATTTGTCATGTCCCCTTTTAGCTCTTCTAGACTGTAACTCTTTCTCAGACTTTCCTTGTTTTTAGAGAACTTGGCAGTTTCTAAGTGTACTGGTTTGGTATGAGGTGATTCTCTGATGTTTTTCTCATGATTAGACTGAGGTTATGAATTTTTGGAGAAAAGCCAGAGGTAAAGTGCCATTCTCATCATCCCATATCGAGGGCACATATTGTCAACTTATCTCACCATTGATGATGTTAATTTTAATCACAGTCTTAAGGCAGAATTTGCCAGGTATTTCCACTGTAAAGTTATTTTCTTCTTCCTTCTGTACTGTTCATCTGAAAGCAAGTCCTTAAATGTAGCCAACATTTCATGGGTGGGAAGTGATGCTCTACCTCATCGAGAGGAAATATCTATATAACTTATGTGGCATTCTGTAAAGGAGATTTATCTAGTGTTCCACGTTTACTTATTTTTTTTTCGATGTTTTCTTTATCTTAGTATTGGTGAAGCCATTTTTAAGGAAGGAAATTACATTATTTAGTAGGTGTTATGACTGGGACCTGTATTAAGTAGGAGAGGCCATTAATTTGTGTAATCCTAGTCATAGCCATATTGGGATATATATATTACTAAAGTATATATATAAAGTGTGTATGTGTATATATATAACTTCACATTATTGATGAATGAACCAAATCTCTGTTTTAGTAACTTCAGTTCTGTAAGAAACATGTTATGCATCTATATATACATATATATATATTTTACTAAAGTATATATATATACTTTTTACTTCACATTATTGATGAATGAACCAAATCTCTGTTTTAGTAACTTCAGTTCTGTAAGAAACATGTTATGCATCTATATATACATATATATATATTTTACTAAAGTATACACATATATATATATTTTACTTCACATTATTGATGAATGAACCAAACCTCTGTTTTAGTAACTTCAATTCTGTAAGACACATGTTATGCATCTGCTATTTTGATACTGTACATTTTAAGTTACTGAATGACTCCAAGAAATGGATGTGAGTATGTGGAATAATTTTAGTTGTTGTTATTTTCAGTAACTCCTACGCTAAGCACTTTAAATATGAGCTTCATGGAATCCTTCAAAACAATTTGACAAGGTAGAAGTTATTGCAAATGTTAACTTGAGTAGCTATGCTAATCAGCACAATTCATATGTGATTGGTCCCTGATGAGAGCACAGGTCTGTCGGACCCCAACCTCTGCACTATATGCCTTGAGCTTCCCCTGATTTCTATGCTTTATGAATCTATATCCATTACAGCTCATTTAAGTACTGGATTTATAGACAAGAGGTTAAAACTGTAGACTCTGGATTTAAAGGGCCTGGGTTCCTTAGTTAGCTGGCAGCATTGGGAAAATTGCTTACCCACTCAAAACTTCTGATTCTGTATCCGCAAATTGGGAAGGGGTAGGTAGTGATAATAATAGTGAATATTATAAGGATTAAATAAAGTAATAGATAATTTTATGCAGGTTTTCTTTTGCATGGTGCCTGCCACATAGTAGGCACTCTGCTAATGTTAGCTACCATTTTCGGTATCATTATTGTGTTCTTTACTTGTTCCATATTTCTTTATATTAGATGATAGTCTGATGTTTTAGGCTGGTTTCCCCAGAAAATAAGAAAGATTCATGAGCAAGTGATTAGGGCTTGAGGCAGGCAGGACAGGAAAGAGAAGAAGCTAAGCAAGAGTGTAATCAGGTGAGCTGGGCGCGGTGGCTCACGCCTGTAATCCCAGCACTTTGGGAGGCTGAGGCAGGTGGATCACCTGAGGTCGGGAGTTCAAGACTAGCCTGACCAACATGGTGAAACCCTGTCTCTGCTAAAAATACAAAATTAGCCAGGCCTGGTGGTGCATGCCTGTAATCCCAGCTACTCGGGAGGCTGAGGCAGGAGAATTGCTTGAACCCGGGAGGCAGAGGTTGCAGTGAGCTGAGATCGCGCCATTGCACTCCAGCCTGGGCAACAAGAGCAAAAAAACTCCGTCTAAAAAAAAAAAAAAAAAAAAAGAGTGTAATCAGATGAAGTGTAGCCTCAGCCTGATCCCGTGGGCAGTTCTGGCGTGTAAATTAGTCTGCCAGGATTGTCCCACCTAAAAGTGATGTAGCGGAGTCTTCATGCAGTGGACGCTGCACCAGTCAGTCACTGGCTCCAGGCTGTGGATGGGGAGCTAGGGCTGCTGCTGGTGGTGGAAATCTGTGGCACAAGTAGTCTAGAAAGTTGCAGGAGTTCACGGACAATCCTCTGGAGAAGGCTGTTCTGGATGTGAGGCATCACCAGCAAAACTGAGCCATTACCAGCAAAATCACATAAAACCAGTAAGAAGCATTAGAGGGGATCTTGACAGGGCACCAATAGTACCTGATGTTGCCTTTTCTCCCCAACTACACAGTAAACTCCCTAGAGAGAAGCCATTCCGGAGACTTACAAATACTTCATAAACTGCAGATTAGGGCAATGAGTTTGCAAAAGAAAAAGTAGGCATTATCTGCCTGTTTGAAATCTTTTTCTTTAATAAAATAGCCTAATTTATTATGGTTATTGAGTTTTTTATATGATTATTTTGTTTGAATTAATCTGCAGTAGAGATGAATTTATTCTCTTCCTAGAAACTAAAATATTTATTAAGAACTGTTCATAGAAATGTTTGAATGAACATTTCCAAACTGCTACCTCTAATAAAATAACACAAAGGTTTTTTAGTCTTAGCTCTCTAACTCATGGTACATTCAACCCCCTTCCCTTTGTTTAGTATCTGTCCTTTGTCCCCATCCACGGACACTATGAGTGTTTTGGTGTGAGCTGAGGCATGGGTTTTAATTACTTTCAAAACTGTCCAGCCACGATTGAGAATGACCAGATTGCATTAAACATTAGCAGTTGGAAAATTTCAAACCCCCTAACTCCTGAAAACACAAGAACAGAGTTCCATTTCATCTTGAAATTGTTTTATTGGGAAATTTCAAAACAGTATATATTCACATTTTAAAAGATCACTGTTAAAAATAAAAACATTGTTTCGGTGTACAACAAAACATTTCCTCAAGATGACCCTGAAAATGCACACAGTCCATCATGTTTCCTACTGCCGCTAAAGCAGCAGTCCCTGGAAAGGAATATTACTTAAGCCATTTTAGTGAACTAACACATTAACTTGGGTACACAAATAATGTAATTAAAAGTTTAACCAGGTAAATTAGTAAACACAACGAAAGTGACATTTCAGTATGTATCAGAAATTAAGCACACGTAACTAAATACGAATGCCTGACAGAGACTCAAGCTGGTGTTATGTAGTTGGTATTGTTAAACTAGATCTAACATAACTCCAGTCAGATGGAAAGTCAGCAAAATGCATGTCATAATATTTTCCTTTCTCTGGAATTAACATTATAATTTTCAGTAGCATATTTAACAAATGAAAGCAAGTGAAACAGTTTTAATTACTTGATTGGCTATTACAGGAATGGCAATGTTTTAATTAACTTCTAAATCTGTAATTTTCTTCCAATGTATTCATCTGTCGCAGTAGCTCCTAAGAAATATCTGCCCTTATAAAAAATAAAACTCACAGAATTTTGAAATATTTTTAAAAACACTACATGTTACTTATAATAATTTTTTAAAAACTATATTGAGTTCTAGGTTTATAAGACATAAGAACACCAGTGATTGATAATAATACCAAAGGAAAAATATATATATATATAAATATTGAGTTTGAACACAACCCTCCAAAATATATGGCTCTTAATTATTTAAAAGCATTATACTCTGTTGACTTTTACTATAACTCTATGAAGATTACACTTAAAAAATACCAGTCTTGTTTTTTCTGGCTACAAAAAGTTAAAAAAAAAAAAAAGAAGAGCTGCCATTATGTTTCTGCTGGCTTTTCTAAGTTTGCCAGATAAATGTCTCAACTGAAAGCTGCAACTGTGATTTATTGGGTTTGAAATATAGAACATATCTTTCCTGTTGGAATTTTAAATATCTTATTAAGCAATGGTAAGGTCTATTCAGTGCTTAATCAAAACAAACCACAAAATAAGTATGTGTGTACTTAGCTTTCCCTCAGAAACCACCAGCTGATGGAGATGGAGAAAGGAAATATTTTTACATTCTCGAATTGTCTTATTTATCTTTCCAGCAGTGTTTCCATACATTCAGATATATATGTATATTTACAACAGCAACTTATAGTAGCAGATACCTGTATCATAAAATATCTGACCAAATAGCCTATGATTGTCCTCAATAAAATGAAGACTGTGGGCCTCAATTATTTTTGAAAAAAATGCCTAAAAGAAGGTGACATATGTTTAACTTACTTTTCACTAATGTTTTGCAATGAATTCTTCAAATTTTATTAATGGAAAAATGTTTTACTGCTTCCGCAAAAATCCATTGTGGGTATTTTAGATGTTTGGAAAATATTCCTGCTTCTTGTATTTTTAAATGAAATGTAGCCACTTAAAAATATGTATTCCACTTCTAATCGTTTTCCCCTTCTCTGTGGCAACAATGGTGTTAAATTATGTGAGGGGGAATGCATTTCAAAATGATGGTATTTAGACTAATTAATCTATTGGAAGAAAAATGGGCAACCAAGAAAATATGATAGAAACATCATTATAATATTAAATACAATAAAGTAAGAACTTTTTGTAGCATACTGAAATATAGATGGGACTGAATAAAAATGGACATTCTGTTCAAAAAGGCCATGAGCAACACCGGAATGGTAAGTACAGAATTACAATCACCTTTATGTCAATTAAAGAGTTTAACTACAACTGGCTATTTAATTGGTCTGGTTGTAACACCGCTGTTACCTCCCTCAGGATATGCAGAATTTGATAAATGGAAATTCAGAGCTTTTATTAAATTTTAATTGTATTTTATTAAGGCACAGATGAAAGACATTTTTGTGGTTTTATTATTATCATGATAATTTTCCAAGAGAAGGTCTTTAATGGTTTAAATACTAATTATTCAAAGATATATTAAGCTCTACAGAAAGAAAAATGGTTGCTCGGAGCGTTGGACATGCTGAGGAATAAAAGATAACATTTGATAACAACAACTCATGCTGATCCTTTAAAAAGAAAAACAGTTGGATTAAAAAAATCTGCATTTTATGAAAAGCCAAAAGAATAAATAAAATTATAACAAAGACAAATAAATATTCATTCATTCATTTAACAAAGTTTATTAATTGCCTGCTCTATGTACCAGAAACTTTTAATCACTGGGTATATAAAGTCAAATTACACATGGTTCTGCCCTTCAGGGGGGTAACTAGGAGGCTGAGAAACATGAATCAACAGTAATAGAGGCCACTGGTGTAAAATCTTAGAGTTCTGCAGAATTCCAAACAGAAAGACATCAAACAAAAGCTGATGTAGGCATGGGAGGCACATAGGGAAGTTTCTCAGAAACAGATACATTTAAACTGAATTTTGAGGCAGTAGGAGGTAGTTACATGTCAATGGGGCAAGAGTATCCCAGGTGCAATATAATATAGCAGTGAACTAGCAGGACCTGGGGAAGTAGAAAGGGCCAGACAACACAAGATCTTATTTGTGAAACTCAGAAGTTTGAAATTTATTCTAAACTTTAGGAGGAGCTACTGGAATCTCTCCCTACTCCTGTCAACCGAGGTAAAGTTTTTATATCGTAAAGTTACTCACTGTAGGATTCTTAGTATGCCAAGGACACAGTGAGATTTGCATTTTAGAAAGCCTGTTTTGGCAGCAGTATGGGGAATAAACCAACAACCACCTGTCTTTGCATCATTCATCTTCACGTACCAGATGTCTCAGCAACTTTTGTTGCTTACCAAATATCTATGTGTTCCCACACTTTTCCTAGCCCCCTTCAGTTAGGCAAGGCCATGTGACTAATTCTGGTCAATGGACTGTATCAAAGGATATAATATTTGGCAAGAATACCTCCAGCTTTCTTTCCTCCCTTGGATACAAACATAGAACCATGTGCTCTGTATGGTGCAGCCTCAATATGGGAAAGTCTTTGTTAGTCTGACTCCTTCAACGGGTGTGGGAAGCAGTGTCTACCTAACACCTCCTCTGACCACCACCCACATAGGTGGGTGAGTTAAAATGTGAGTTAAACAAAAGAATCACTTGTTCTTCTAATGTATTCCAACTTAGGTGAAATAATTTTATTTTCTGCCCTTCTTTATCCAATCACTCCCATGATTACATACTAGTTTTGTGTGATCAATCACCAGTAATCTCAATTTCAAGTATCTTCCTCTCTGACTCTTATCTCCTGTTTTCCTGGCCAAGTCCATATAACTTGTGAATTCACACTATTTCTCAATTTCATTGAGAATACAATCTATTGATCTAAATTTTCACTATCTCTCACTCCCCTCATGTCCTCACCTTCTTACCTCACTACATCCTGTGGCCATCACTGTGATCACTCCGTTGCAAATTCTGTTAACTCATTTGTCTCTTTTTTGCTTTTGAATGCTCTCTTGGCAAAACCTCAAACCTGGTGGAAATCAACTCTGCCATCTGTGCACCTGAACCTTTGCTAATGAGTGTAGCTGGAACAAAACACCCTAGCATCCGGATTGCTCTCACTTTTAACTTATGACTTCGAAATTTATACATTTTCTTTGCCAATTGGTTCTCCTACTACTTTTAATTTGTATCTTAAACTTTCTTTTCTCAAATCACCAGCAAAACATCACTAAACTCACTAACCTTGTTTAAGAAACCTTTCTTTAAGAAAATTGCTTAGCTCTCACAAGAGGAAAAAACCGCCTAAGTTGTCACCACAGTGAAAAGTAAGTTACTACTTACAGATGTTCCACATACTCTGTTTTCTCTCCTGTAACTGTAGGTAGGCTATCTGTAATCCTTTCTTAGGTTAAGTAAGAATCACTTTTGCATGTGATTAAAACCCTCCTTGCTGGCCGGGCGCGGTGGCTCACCCCTGTAATACCAGCATTTCGGCAGGCCGAGGATGGCAGATCGCCTGAGGTCAGGAGTTCAAGACCAGCCTGGCCAACATGGTGAAACCCGTCTCTACTAAAAATATAAAAATTAGCCAGGCATGGTGGCAGTTGCCTGTAATCCCAGCTACTCCGGAGGCTGAGGCAGAAGAATGGCTTGAGCCTGGGAGGTGGAGGTTGCAGCGAGCCCAGATTGTGCCACTGCACTCCAGCCTGGGCGAATGAGCAGGACTCTATCTCAAAAACAAACAAACAAACAAACAAACAAAAAACCCTCCTTGTTTATGAACATAGCTCTAGAAATTCTCCCAACTTTATGGAACAACCAAATTTTCTCTCTTTATTAAATCATTCTTGCTAACAGGCAAAGATATATCAATTTTAAAAGTCTTTTCTTGACTTACTGCTCCACCTCTGCCCCTCTTTACAGCAAATCTTCTCCAAAATGTATTTATGCTATTTCTCTCCAATTCCCCTCCTTCCATTGTTTCTTAATTCAGTCCAAATAGCTTTTACCTCATTATTCTCTTGAAATTCTTCTTGCCTCCAATGAGATTCATGTTGCTAAACAATTCTCAGGTTTTATATTTTCTGACAACTGTCAATTCTCATGTTTATTTCCACAGCCTGAATTGATCTCCTAAACTCCAGATTTTAAAAAAATCAAATTGTCTTCTCAATGCTTTGTTTTCACACAGCACGTAAAAAAAAAAAAAATTCTTTCTTCTCTTTCCTATCTCTACCATCATTTCTAGCTGGATTATTGGAAGAGTATCCTAATGTTTCTCCCTAATTCAGTGCTTGGATCCCTTTGATTTATTCTCAAAACGGATGTCAGAATGCTCCTTTTTGAAATTCAAGTAAATCATGTCACCAGTCTTCAAAACCCTCCAGGGGCTTCCTCTCTTTCTCAGAGCAAAGTTCTTAAAATGTCTTACAAAAAACTGTGTCCTGGGTTGTCAAGATTTCTCCAATTTCATGTCTTCCTTTTTTTCTTTTTTCTTTTTTCTTTTTTTTTAGATGGAGTCTTGCTCTGTCGCCCAGGCTGGCGTGCAATGGCACAATCTCAGCTCACTGCTATCTCCTTGCCTCTCAAGTTCAAGTGACTCTCCTGCCTCAGCCTCCCAAGTAGCTGTAATTACAGGTGATGGCCACCACACTCAGCTAATTTTTGTATTTTGAGTAGAGACAGGGTTTCGCCATGTTGGTCCGGCTGGTCTCAAACTCCTGACTTCAGGTGATCCACACACCTTGGCCTCCCAAAGTGCTGAGATTACAGGTGTGAACCAACCCACCCAGGCCATTTTTTCTTCTTCACTCATTCGGCTCCGGCAATGCTGGCCTCCTTGCTGTCCCCATAACATGCCAGTAAAATCTCTCTCTTCAGGTCTTTTCTCACTTACTACCTTCTCTGTCTAGAATATTATTGCCCAAGATATCTGCAGACCTGATTTCTTCCCTTCCTTTGAATACTTGCTTAAATATTAACTTCTGCTATGGTTTTTAATGTCTGTGTCTCTCCAAAATTTGTGTTGAGACTTAATCCCCAATTTGATAGTATTAAGATGTGGGGCACTTGGGGAAGTGATTCAGTCATGAGAACCCCATCCTTGCGAATGGGATTAATGCCCTTAGAGAAAAGCCTTCAGAGAGCTTCCTGGAATTTTCATCTCTTCCACCACATGAGGGTACAGTGTTCATTCTTTTTTGTTCTTGCTCCATGAGAGGACACATAAAAGGTTCCACCCATTAGGAAGATGCCCATGTTCCTTCAAATCTGCTGGCACCTTGATCTTGAACTTACCATCCTCTAGAACTTCAAGAAATACATTTCTGTTCTTTATAGATTAGCCAGTAGTATAGATTACCCAGTCTTTTGTTATAGCAGAAAGAATGAACTAAGACACCTTCTAAGTGAGGTCTCCTTAGAATGCTAAATAAACATCCTTATTCTTTTGGTAATCTCATCAGCTAGATATTATCATTACATGTTAGAGTTCAGGAAAATTTACAAGCTTATCATCTTCAAATTATAAAGAAATAAAGATTCACAGAATAATAGCTAGCTGTAGCATTATTGTGTGACAGAGATTCTAAGCTCTTTACATATTTTATATTAACTCATTTAATCGTAGCAAGAACTCTATTATCCACAGATAGCAAATAAAATGTTCAGAATCACAAAGTCAATGAGTTGTATAGACAGCCAAGACAGTTTTTCAAATCAATAGTGTTTCCGTTGTACTTTGCAAACTCCTGGTATTATCAAGCAGTCATGAAAAAGTCATGTATTATTAGTCATAAATAAGTGTTTAGAAATCGGTTATACACATTTTTCCAGTGAAGTCTCTTGGATAGTCCTATTTTTTATAATAATTTTTAAAAATAATGTAATTAAAACCCAGAGTAATTATAAATTTTGAGTTGCTGGCATCTCTATACACTGTTTTACTTTACTTTAGTTTATATTGCAAATTTTTATCATAACCCTGGTCTCCCTAACAGACAATCTGGTTTTTATCTCAATATAGCATCATTTCAAAACATAAAATATTTAAAACCAAATAAATAAAAATAACCTAAAGAAGGATTTGGTGACTCTCTAACTTCATTACAGGAATGGTTATGTAACACAAAATTTTCATAAATGGGTTTAAAGGTGTATATTTTAAAAATTTGTCTCCAAATTGCTAAAATTTTAAACATAATTTGGCTGCTAATATTATATTTTGTTTATAAGTTGTCAAATTTTTCTATGCTACAGTCCATCACTTATAAACACATAATTTTATAATTATGGGAACAGAGAATTGAGTTATAGTGCTCATTAGTGTGTGCAAACTTCATCCCTTGTTATACTTTTTGTTACTCTAGATTTCTACTTTCCTTGTTCTCATAAAATTAGAACACATTCTACTGTGTTTTGACATGCCTTTAACTATTTATGTAATTTTAATAAAATCTGTAGTCATTTGGATAAGTGTGTTTTTAATTTGTACATATGAAATTGGACTATAAAACTTATTATGCTTTTATCTTTCCTTTTTGTTCAATGCTGCTTTTAAGAGCTATCCATTTTTATATACACATTTAGTTGTTTCTAATTGCTGCATGGTATATGTGTGTGCACCTCATTTTACTCACCTATTCTTCTGGTTACCTATGGCTTCTTGCTCTTGAATAAAGGCCACAGTGAAAATCTGCACACTTGTTCTCATACTACCCCTGTGAGAATTTCCCTGTGGTATGCACCCAGAACTGTGATCCCAGGGTCAAAGAGCATACCTTTACTTAATTTTAGTAAGTATTGTCAGTTATTCCCAGAAAACTTGTGTCAATTTATATCTTTAACAATAAATATCATGTCTCTCACTTTAAAAATTTGCTCCCCACTTTTCTTGTCATTTCCACATTTATATCATAAATATATATATATATGTGTGTATATTTATTTATTTATTTATTTATTTTTTGAGATGAAGTCTCACTCTGTTTCCCAGGCTGGAGTGCAGTGGTGCGATCATGACTCACTGCAACCTCTGCCTTCTGGACTCCAGTGATTCTCCTGCCTCAGCCTCGCTAGTAGCTGGGATTACAGGCGCACGTCACCATGCTCAGCTAAATGTTTTCAGTAGATATGGGGTTTCACCATGTTGGTCAGGCTGGTCTCCAACTCCTGGCCTCAAGTGATCGGCCTGCCTTGTCCTCCCGAAGTGCTAGGATTACAGGCATGAGCTGCCGTGCCTGGTCAATATATCCCATCATATGTTCTTATTATTGGCATTTGATAACTCAATAATAAAGATTTTGTTTAAATCAAAATGACTCTCTCATAACATTAAAATAATACAGAGTAAAAATAACTTTTGATATAAATCTGCACTTTTATCTGTGGCTTTTAATAGTTTTTCTTTGCCTTATTTATATATTTGTCTTAGGTCCTATAATTCTGAACTTAAAGACAGGAGCTATGCCTCAGACATTCCAATATTCATATATTCATTTATTTATTGAAAAATTTTTATTAAGCATTTTCTTTGTGCTAGTAGCTTTCTAGGTATTAAGAATTCAAAAGTCAGTAAGACACAGTGCTATCCTAGGCAGGTCAAGTGAAGAGTAGAGAAAAGCATGGAAACAAATGACCCAAATGCAAAATGAGGTCAACTAGATTCAAGCCATAGTTTGAAGGACATCACTAATTTATTTCTCCAATAAACCTGATAAAAAGACCTCTCCTCCCTTTTCTTCTTGTTCTCAATTTGATTTGACATGTACTTGGAATAAGGTGACTAGAAATAAGCTGTTCTTAATTCTGGAACAAAAAGAAATAAGGGATTCAAAGAAGATAGAGGAAAAAATATTTTCAAAGATGGGGAAGGTCAACAGGTAAAAAAATAGAAAGAATAAATAAGTTATACTATTTGATAGCACAAAAAGGTGACTACAGCCAATAATAATGTAATTGTATATTTTAAGATAAGTTAGAGAATGTAATTAATTGTCTGTAACTCAAAGGATAAAAGCTTGAGGGGATGGATACCCCATTCTCCAAGATGTGCTTATTTCACATTGCATGCACTCCATAAGTATGTACACCTACTTTGTATCCACAAAAATTAAAAAAAAACAAATTTTAAAAATATGTTCTGTTTTGTAATGATTCTTAGAAAAACAAACATTTGAGGCGAGGCTTCAAAGGTAACTCACGTGGTGAATTCACCAGGTGAATGAGAGAGAGTGGGATATTTCTAATAGACAGGATAATATCTGAAATGGTACAAAGGCTTGAAACAGCATAACTTATTTGGAGATTTTAAAATAGTTCATTAATTCTGGTGCACAAACAGGGTCCCAAGGCCAGCGAGGCAAATAAGGCTTGGAGGAGGGTATCTCATGAGAAAACATTATAGTTCATTTTAAGGCAATGAGAATCCTCTGAAATTACAGTACTTTTCTTTCTTTAATTAGAAAAAATATATATATAATTATAATAGAAAATTTGAAAGACAGAAAAGTAAACAAGATAGAACAAATTTACTCACTGTTGTGGGAAGTCAGGGACCCCAAACAAAGGGACTGGCTGAAGCCATGGCAGAAGAACATAAATTGTGAAGATTTCATGGACATTTATTAGTTTCCCAAATTAATACTTTTATAATTTCTTACGCTTGTCTTTACTGCAATCTCTGAACATAAATTGTGAAGATTTCATGGACACTTATCACTTCCCCAATCAATACCCTTGTGGTTTCCCATGCCTGTTTTTACTTTAATCTCTTAATCCCATCATCTTCTTAAACTGAGGAGGATGTATGTCGCCTCAGGACCCTGTGATGATTGCGTTAACTGCACAAATTGTTTGTTGAGCAAGTGTGTTTGAGCAATATGAAATCTGAGCACCTTGAAAAAAGAACAGGATAACAGCAATGTTCAGGGAACAAGAAAGATAACCTTAAACTCTGACTGCCGGTGAGCCGGGAAGAACAGAGCCATATGTCTCTTCTTTCAAAAGCAAATGGGAGAAATATCGCTGAATTCTTTTTCTCAGCAAGGAACATTCCTGAGAAAGAGAATGTGTCCCTGAGGGTAGGCCTCTAAAATGGCCGCTTTGGGGGCGGCTGTCTTTTACGCTTGCAGTTGTAGGGATGAAATAAGCCCCAGTCTCCCATAGCACTCCCAGACTTATTAGGACGAGGAAATTCCCACCTAATAAATTTTGGTCAGACCGGTTGTCTACTCTGAAACCCTGTTTTCTGATAAGGTGTTATCAATGACAACGTGTGCCCGAAACTTCATCAGCAATTTTAATTTTGCCCCGGTCCTGTGGTCCTGTGATCTCGCCCTACCTCCATTTACCTTGTGATATCTTATTACCTTGTGAGGCATGTGATCTCTGTGACCCACACCCTATTCATACACTCCCTCCCCTTTTGAAAATCACTAATAAAAACTTGCTGGTTTTATGGCTCAGGGGGCATCACGGAACCTGCCAGGCTATGATGTCTCCCCTGGACACCCAGCTTTAAAATTTCTCTCTTTTGTACTCCGTCCCTTTATTTCTCATACCGGCCAACACTTAGGGAAAATAGAAAAGAACCCACGTGAAATATTGGGGGTGAATTTCACACGATAACTCACAATCTTTTATTTCTGAGATAACTGCTATTAACATTTCTTTCTGTATTATGAGTCCATCCATATATTCATCTATCTATATTTTTAGTTCATTACTATTTTTTTAGTTTACTATATTTTAGTTTATACATTTTTAGTTTACTAAATAAGGATTGTAATGTTTTACAATCAACATTTTTGTTTAATATATAGTATTATCCCAGTCATCATCCTATACCATGTCATACATCACAAGAAAAATCTCATTTTATTTAAAAATTATACTTTAAAAATAAAATGATAAAACTCCTTGTTGATTATTTATTTTGAAAGGAAGGTCAAAATAAACCTGTTGTGCACCAGTTATTTCTGGGTTGCAGAAACATGAATCATTTCTCTTTTCTGGCCGCCATTAATTACCTGATTTCCCACAGAGAATTAATCACTACACTTTGTTGTAGACATTGTCTGTAGATCTTTAGTCTTGCTATCCTAGTTGCTATGACTATTTTATAAAGAATGCCAAAATTACACTAGTGCCGATGACATTTTCCCCATTGCCTCTGAAAAGCACTCCAGTTATGTTTATAACTCTTTCCTCAGAATGTATTGAAATTGTACTTTTTTCAAGGTTAGGTTTCTAATCACCTCCTTGTTGCTAAATGCAATGTCAAATTTTTAGTCTTCTTCATCCTTGACCTATATTATAGGGGTGATCTATCCCTTTTCTTCCAAACACCGTTTTGACTTCGCTGTTGGGATACCTACTCTTCTGATTTTTCTTATACTTCACTGCCTATGCCTTTTGAGGTTCCTAATCTTGTTCCTAATCTCTTAGCTCTCAAACTTCCCGGAACTCAGTCCCTGGGTTTCCTACATGTCTGTCTATCTATCTATCTATCTATCTATCTATCTATCTATCTACATCTATCTATTCATCCTTCCATATATATATATATTTCCTAGGGGTGTGTGTGTGTGTGTATATGTGTATATATATATTTCCTATATATTATATATGTATATATATTTCCTATATATTATATATGTATATATATATTTCCTATATATTATATATGTATATATATATTTCCTATATATTACATATAAATATATATATTTCCTATTTATTCATCCATCCATCTATATATATAAAAATATAAAAATATATAAAAATATATAAAAATATAAATATATATAAATATATAAAATTATATAAAAATATATATAAATGTATAAAATATATATAAATATATAAATATATATAAATATATAAGTATATATAAATATATATAAATATATAAGTATATATAAATATATATAAATATATAAGTATATATAAATATATATAAATATATAAGTATATATAAATATATAAGTATATATAAATATATAAAGTATATATAAATACATAAATATATAAAATATATAAATATATAAATATATATAAATATACATATAAATATATATAAATATATATATATTTCCTAGGAGTGTGTGTGTGTATATGTATATGTATATATATATTTCCTATATATTATATATGTATATATATATTTCCTATATATTATATATGTATATATATATTTCCTATATATTATATATGTATATATATATTTCCTATATATTATATATGTATATATATATTTCCTATATATTATATATGTATATATATATTTCCTATATATTATATATGTATATATATATTTCCTATATATTATATATGTATATATATATTTCCTATATATTATATATGTATATATATATTTCCTATATATTATATATAAATATATATATTTCCTATTTATTCATCCATCCATCTATATATATAAAAATATAAAAATATATAAAAATATATATAAATATATATAAATATATAAAATTATATAAAAATATATATAAATATATAAATGTATAAAATATATACAAATATATAAATATATATAAATATATAAGTATATATAAATATATATAATATATAAGTATATATAAATATATATAAATATATAAGTATATATAAATATATATAAATATATAAGTATATATAAATATATATCAATATATAAGTATATATAAATATATAAATATATAAAGTATATATAAATACATACATAAATAAAATATATAAATATATAAATATATAAATATATAAATACATAAAAATATATATATATATTTCCTAGGTGATTTCATTTAGTCTCCTGATGTTATATATCAACTGTATAGCTTATATAGGAGGTAAACTTCCAAATTTGTTTTCCTAGGTCAGACTTCATCCATGAACTTCAGCCTTGTACATCTATTTCTGTATGATATATAACTAATTATCTAATTGGTATCTTTAACATAACATGTACAAAATAAATTTTCTCATTTTACTCGTCAAACTTGCTCCTTACACAGTTGTCCAAATCTCAGTTAATGATGACTCCATCCTTTCCCTTGCACCTTCACAAGGTGAAGGACCTTGGGGAAAATACTTGGCTTTCACACTCCATGTATAATCTGTCAGCAAATCTTCTTGGCTCCATACAGGGCCAGGTCTGGTAGCTCATCCCTGTATTCCCACACTTTGGGAAGCCGAGGCATGTGGATCACTTGAGGTCAGGAGTTCGAGACGAGCTTTGCCAACATGGTGAAACCCTGTTTCTAAAAAAAAAAAAAAATAGAATAAAATAAAATATAAACAGAATTGAA
The DNA here is from genome assembly GCF_000001405.40 of Homo sapiens. Taxonomy (NCBI): domain Eukaryota; kingdom Metazoa; phylum Chordata; class Mammalia; order Primates; family Hominidae; genus Homo; species Homo sapiens. The sequence continues at coordinate 86,818,970 of NC_000003.12, read as the reverse complement.
GTATTATTATTCCATTGTCCAAAACTCTCCAATGGCCTCCATTTCATACAGATTAAAATTCAAAGTGTATAGAATACCCTACAAATCCTTACATAATCTGACCTCCTTTATATTTCTGACCTTATCTTCTACTACCCTTATCCTTGCTCTTGGTACTCAAGCTATATCCTTGCTCTTGGTACTCAAGCTATATCCTCACTTTTCTTGAACTCAGCCAGATATAAACTTGCCTCAGGGGTATGCCTTCTGCTAGATATGTGTTTTACCTACAGGACTCAAGTCTGTGCTGAAATTGTGCATATATTTTTTTTTTTTGTTACCTTCTCAGAGATAGCTTTCCTAACCATCCTATTTAAAATCACTGTCTCCTCCTTTTATGCTTTATTTATTACTGTCTACTAATCCTACAATTTACTAATTTGTTAATTACTCTGTCTTTGTAGTCCAATGTAAGTTTCATGAAGGCAATGATGTTTTTCTCTTTGTTTGTTGTTATATCCCCAGTAGTATAACATAATGTTATATAATGCTAGCATATTTTTGCTGAATAAATAGATAACTAAATAAAAGATTTGTATAAATTTTACACCTGGAATATTAGAAATCATAATAAATATATATGCATATGCTAAAATAATGTGAATAGTCTCTGAAATGTAACTTTATAATTTCATTTGACTTGTGCTGTGCCTATATTAATGTTTCTCTAAAATGAACAACGGTAGATTCTTTATTTAAGTTACAATTCTATTGTGCTTACAGTGATGGAATTCCAGAATTTTACAGCTGAGTTCAGCATTAGAGGTTATGCTTGTTTTATTTAGACAAAAAACATCAGATTTTTAAATAACAGACATTTATTAAAAAGTATTTGTCATCAGTAACCATTTCTCACACTTTCCAAATATTGCAGTAAAAGTTTCCCCTAACACGTAGGGCAGTAGTATAAGTTCAATGATGTGAAATGCAGTGGTCTATTTTTTGTAAAGTTAAGCCGAAATTTGCTTATCAGTTTATACTGTCATTTAAAGTACACACACATGCACATACACATGCCTATAAAGCTAAACTCAAACTGATGCTATACTGTAGAGAATGAGAGCAAATGTTAAAAAATTCATCATAACCTTATTTGAGACAGGACAAGCAAGGCATCGTAGCGATGCCTGTAATCCCAGCTACTCAGGAGGCTGAGGCCAGAGGATTGCTTGAGCCCACGAGTTCGAGACTAGCCTGGGCAACATAGTGAGACCTCATTTCAATTTACAAAAAAAAAAAAAAGGCAGAGAAGAGGCAAAGAATACAAACCAATTCTAATATGATTACAACCAAATTTATGTTATTTCAGATTGCAATTTTCCTTGATATTCTACATTTTAAATAATATTTATTTACTTGGAATGGTTTTATTAAGATTGTTGGCAGGATTCTTTTTCCAAATAATTTTTTTTGAAATGAGCTTAATACATTTTTAAACATACTTTTCACTCATTTAGCAAAAAGTACTGAGCACCAACATTGAGTTATGAAATGTCATAGCTTTGCAGGCTTGGCAATGAACAAAGTCCCTTTTCTCGTCAAGCTCACATTCCAGTGGACATAGATTTAGGCATATTCATTACTGTACTTTTGTTAAATGTCTGACCACTTTTATATTTTACAAGCCCTAGCTCCTGCACAATGACTGACGTTAAAGTTCTGACAAACTCACTTATGGGACCCCTCTCAATAAATGTTTCTGCTGAGTGGTCTCCTTACCATTATAAATGTTGAAGTTGGGCAGAAACATTATATTTTTTAATTGTTTTTTTTTTTTTTTCTGAAAGAACTCTAGTGACTGGAAAATTTTAGCTTTCATTTGAGAACTTCAAAACAAAACAGAACACCATTTTACAAAACTTCATTTCTCTGTAGATTCTCTGGTAAAGAATAATCTTACCAGACTCTTCACTTTCATGGAATTTATCACCACTATGAACTCTGATGAATTAGAATCCCTGACTCCAATAGAAACCCTTCCCACATGTATCATATTTATACAGTTTCTCTCCTATGTGGACTCTATGATGAGCTTGAAGGTGTGATCTCCAAGTGAAGTCTTTTCCACACAGCTTACATTTGTATGTTTTCTCCCCAGTATGGAGTCTTTGATGGGTTTGAAGACTTGAATTCTAACTGACACATTTCATATCTTGTTCATATTTACAGAGCCTTTCTTCTGTGCAGACTTTCTAAGGTCTAAGAATCTTATAAGATTCTTAATAATAATTTTTTAGTGATTTTTATGATCATATAATAAAGCAAAAGTTTCAAAAACATTGTTGATTTTTTTGCAGTAATGCTTTATATCAATCACTTATATTGTTTTAAGACATAATGGAATTAAGAGGCGAAAAAGAAGAGAAACATCAAAGTTGTATACACAATTCAAAATACTTAAAATTATTATATTGGAAATGTGCAAAGTTTTTCTTATCCTAAAGTGTTTTAGATACTTTTATTATTAAATAACATGAAATAAAATGTGTATACATATATATACACACACGTATAGATATACATACATACACACACATATATATAGTTAGTTCGTCACTTAGTACATATTTCTGCGTATGAAGACATAGTGATTTTTTTTCTCAGACTATAAATCATTCAATCTTTTTTTAAGTAAGGAAGTGCAATCGTGCTTTAGTCTTGGTTTTTAGTCTTGACTGTGAAGCACAGGCTCTGGATCAAGGGGCTTAAAATATCATCATCCTAATGCCAGTAAGTGACAGAAATTCTTTTCAATAGCACTGTAGAAACCACTTATGTTGAGTAAATTATATGCTACAGTAAAATATTTTTCAGAAAGCTTTAGATAACATTAGGCATGAGAATTCCATCAGTTTGGCTTATTCATTCAGGCAAGTTCTGTCATATGGTTTTTCTAAGCCTCAGATTTTATCACTCTCAGATTTGTAGTAAAAAACCACTAGATTATAGTCAAGCAACAAGTTATAAAATTGTGAGTCACAGCAATTATTAAGCAGCAAACAAGCTAAAATAAAGAAGATAAAAAGAAAAGAGAAAATGAACTATTTAAAACTGCAGAACTACAGGTGAATATGTCATTTTCCTACCAGAGAAATCTTAATTTCTACACAGTTTACTAGCCGTAATAAGAAATCATAAGAAATACTGGCTGTAAAAATAAATCAAAAAGTTTAAAGCAAAACAGGTGGGACACAACTCAAAAAAATTTAATGGAGACCTCATTCTACTGACAACATAATGAGAATACACAATATTTAAGGCTTCTGCTTCACACAAAGAGTAACATAAGATGAAATGTCTTGTTAAGAATCTTAGGAATGTTTATATTCTAGTAGCTAGACTGTCAGGATGTTTCATTATGCAGTGAGCCTGAGCCACTTTTTATTTCTCATAATGATTTCTTCATAGCTGTATAGCTTCATAGCTCTGTGGGATCTGCATTGGAAGGGTAGGAATTTCAGTTCTTCCACAAATGACAATAGTCAATGTGAGAAGGAATGGGGAAATGTCAAGGCAGTAAACAAATGTAAAAATCTCCTTGTCCTTCTTCCCAACAGCTGCCAGTCACAGGATATCCACCACAAGACACCCCTGAGAACAAAAGTTAGCCATCCCTTCGAGCTTGTCATCTTCATAGAGGATTCACAGCGGGCAGGATCACAAGACTGGCTACCTGGTAAATACACTCTTGCGGGATGTATAACAATAAGAATGACATTAAACAAATGAACAAGGATGATAGGGCACTTTCTTCATTGAATGCTTGTTTAGCACACGATTCCAGTGACTAGGAGAACAATGGAGATTTTCAAGAGAATTAACAACCAGCTTGTATCAAACCCTCAGTTTTGACTAAGGCATGTGCCCTTCACTTTTCATTGTCAAAAACATCCAAGAGCTGGGTGTTGTGCTCTGTAGATTGAGACAATGCCTTGCTCTTCTTCCTTTTCACAAATAGGATTACACTACTATTTATCATCTTGCTTTAAAACACACTTTTTTTTTGTTCTTGTTTTTACCCTCAAATGCTTGATTGACAATACCCTAGGAGATGTCATAGTTTTTGTAGGAATCACTGTAGCATCCTGAAGCCACAGACATGTTGTGAAGACTCTCTCCCAGGTGTTTGAAATAGCTGTCAATGAACCAGAAGGATGGCTTCTTGTAGGGCTCACTTGTCCAACACTTTAACACCAATTGATGTCTATTTGAGGAGCGGATAAGAAAGAAGATAAAATGATGCAGGGGAAAAAGGAGGGAGAATAAGTTCATTAAGGATCTCCATCTGAAAGCAGCATGTGCGGAATGTCAATTTAATAATAGAATTGACAGCTCTTCTCTGGTGTCATTCCGCCACAATGGCTTCTTTGACAATTTATAAAATGGACCCTTTGTAGATGTCAGTGAGTGGCACTGCATACATTTGTGAATGCCCTGCATAACTAACATTCTCCCTCAGGCCGCATTTCCAGGATCTGTCCCAAGAATCTTTTCAGACTGACCCAGGGAACTGGAATATGAAGACCCAGTGAACCAATCCTATTCCAAATACTGTATATAATATAAATGCATCATTGTCAGGTCATTAGTCAAAATGCCTAAACATTTTGGAAAATACTCTTAGGCTGAAAGATATTTTTGAACTTTGTTGCTCAACAAACACTAATACAAAATGCATCTAATCACTTATTAACTTTGTGATGAGCCTAGTACAGGCTGATTTTATTATTCCAGGCTAAATTTGGCCCTTCAATGCATATATGGGTCATTCCCATGAATTGAGCCAATCAACACTGTGCATACTCAGAGGAATTTTTAAAAAGCATGAATGGCACTGACAGTAGAAAATAAAGAACAGTGTAGAAAACAACAAAAAATTTTCAGCACTCCAGTTCCAGATTATATTACTAGATTATTCTTTTGTTGCTCAAACATTTTTTTCTGGCCAATTGGAATTGTATTAGTCAAGAAAAAACGGTAAAAAATGAAAAACAAAATGCATTTCCAAATATCAAAGGTAAAATTCCTATTTAAATTTGTCATTCACTCTACATATTGGAAAATTATTTATTTTATTTTTATATTTTAGCACTGTTATCATAAATTATTGTTAAATGAGCAAATGCATACAAAACATTTGAATACAGATGGCAAATATATACATTTTATTTATTACAGTCATCACAAAGAAAGGATTTGACCAGCTCAATGACAATTTTGTTTCCTATACTGAAACTAAAATTACAAAGTATATAAATTATATTTTCATAATAAGAACACTGAACATTATTTTTAGTGGCAAGTAACAGGAATATAAATATATATATATTTCAAAGGAATATTAATTGATTCATTGATCATTTCGACTATGATGGCTTTCTATGATAGTTTTATATCATCTCAATGGTCATAACAACAAAATGTGAATTTTATGTGTCAATAATGAATACAAATTAGAAAACATCGAACCAGTTTACTTTATAAGTAAATTATTTTTTGCTGTCCTAACATTATATATCTACCTATTTATGTATTCACTTTATTTAGTAATATTCAACATTCAACATTTTATTGTGGGTAGGATTAGCTTTAATGTTGGGTAAAAAGAAGAGAGGAATAACATGATTCTACTGTTAATCTACAAAGTTCTAGATATGGAAGATAACTTAAAGACCTATTCATCTAACTGTGCCATTTTACCTCTGAAGAAACTAAGGCCATGCAGTTAACTTACTTTCTGAATTTTGAAACAGAGTTTACATTAATGATCACAATACAAAACACATTGATCAGAAATTATAAAAAAAATTAAAGAGTCTTTTAAAATCCCAACAAAAAGCCTTAATTACATGGCTGTTAAACATCCCCACTTTACATTGTTTGTTTGCCCTGAATATATGGACTATTGGGAAGCCAGAAACAATATTGAAATACAGAAACCTTTCTTACGGAAATATTCAAATGTAAATCAAATGTAACATAGTTAATTAACCATTATTTACCCTATGCTCAATAATGATTCATGTTAACAGTTAACTAAATTGATCAAAACAAAGTATTCCTTAAGGGTATGTAAAGAGTTAAGAGTATCTTAATTTGGCTGAAGTTAATAAATATTATCTTTTATTATTTTTTCAAACAAAATTTTTTATTATCTTTGGGATTTTAAATAAAATTGTTAACTTGAAATAGTTTTTCATACCGATAATATTACTAAAAATTAACTAATAGTATTGTGTAATAAAATATATTTATTCTTTGTGCTGATTTTTCTATATGATGTGAGATAAGGACACAACTTCATTGTTTTACAGGTGGCTATCCACTTTTCCAAACACCATTTATTGAAGAAATTGTCCTTTCCTCATTGTCATTTCCTCACTGGCAACTTTTTCAAAAGTCGATTGACCATAAATCCATGAATTTATTTCTAGGCTTTCTAACCCATTCCATTGGTTTATATGTTCGTTTTTCATGCCATTTTAATTACCATACCTTTGTAGTATATTTTGAGATTAGGCACTGTGATGTCTCCAGTTTTGTTCTTTTTACTTGAGATTACATTGCCTATCTCTGGGTCTTAGACAGTTCCACACATGGCCGGGCATGGCGGCTCACGCCTGTAATCCCAGCAATTTGGGAGGCCGAAGCGGGTGGATCACAAGGTCAGGAGATCGAGACCATTCTGGCCAACATGGTGAAACCCTGTCTCTACTAAAAATACAAAAATCAGCTGGGCTTGGTGGTGCGCGCCTGTAGTCTCAGCTACTCAGAAGGCTGAGGCAGGAGAATCACTTGAACCCGGGAGGCGGAGGTTGCAGTGAGGTGAGATCATGCCACTGCACTCCAGCCTAGCGACAAAAAAAAAAAAAAAAAAAAAACAATAAAAAAAGACAGTTCCACACATGTCTTAGAATTGATTTTTCCAAGCCTGTGAAAAATGTTATCAGAATTTTGATAGGGATTGCACTGAACCTGTAGATTGCTTTGGGTGGTATGTACATTTAAATTATATATATATATATGTCTTGTTTTTCAATTTTTAATTTTTGTGAGCACATTATAAGTGTATATTTTATGGGGTACAAGAGAACTTTTGATACAGTCATAAACTGTATAATAATCACTTCAGGGTAAATGGGATACCTATCACCTCAAGTATTTACTGTTTGTGTTACAAACAATCCAATTATATACTTTTAGTTATTTTAAAATATATAATTAAATTATTATTGACTATAGTCACTCTGTTGTGCTATCAAATTCTAGATCTTACTCATTCTTTCTATTTTTTTGTACCAATTAATCATCCCCACTTTCTTCATACCCCCCACCCCTACCTTTCCCAGCCCCTGGTAACCATCTTTCTAAACTATAACTCCGTGAATTCACTTGTCTTAATTTTTATCTCCTACAAATAAGTGAGAACATTGTCAAGTTTGTCTCTCTGTGCCTGGTTTATTTCACTTAGCATAATGATCTCCAGTTCCATCTAGTTCTTGCAAACGACAGAATCTCTTTCTGTTTTATAGCCGAATAGTATACGTGTATGTATACCACATTTTCTTTATCCATTCATCTGAGGATGGGCACTTAGATTGCTTCCAAATCTTGGCTATTGTTAATAGTGCTGCAATAAACATGGGAGTGCAGACATCTCTTCAATACACTGATTTCCTTTCTTTTGGGTCTATATCCAGCAGTGAGATGGCTTGATCATATGACAATGTCACTTCTAGTTTTTTTTTTTGAGGAACCTCCAAGCTGTTCTCCATAGTGGTTGTACTAATGTACCAGCTGTGTATGAGGGTTCCCATCTCTCTACATTCTAGCTAGCATTTGTTAATTGCCTGTCTTTTGGATAAAAGCCATTTCAACTGAGATGAGATGATATCTCACCGTGGTTTTGACTTGTATTTCTCTGATGCTCAATGATGTCCCATACCTTTCATATGCCTGTGTTTGCCATTTCTATGTCTTCTTTTGTCTAGTCAGATCTTTTGTCCATTTTGTAAGCAGATAATTAGATTTTTATTTTTTTAGAGTCGTTTGAGCTCCTTATCTATTCTGGTTATTAATCCTTTGTTAGATGGATAGTTTTCAAATATTTTCTTCTATTATGTGGGTTGTTTCCACGCTTCGTTGTTTCCTTTGCTGTGCAGAGGCTTTTTAACTTGATGTGATCCCATTCATCCATTTTTGCTTTGATTGCCTCTGCTTGTGGGGTACTACCCACGAAATCTTTGCCCAGATCAATGTACTTGAGAGTTTTCCAAATGTTTTCATGTAATAGTTTCAGAGTTTGATGTCTTAGATTTAATCCATTTTAATTTCATTTTTTTTATATGGCATGAGATAGAGGTCTAGTTTCATTCTTTTGCATGTGGATATTCAGTTTTCCCAGCACCATTTATTGAAGAGACTATCTTTCCCCAATGTATATTCTTGGCACCTTTGTCAAAAATGAGTTTACTGTAAATGTTTGAATTTGTTTCTGGGTTCTTTATTCTGTTCCATGAGTCTATATGTCTATATGCCAGTGCCATGCTGTTTTGGCAACTGTAACACTGTATTAGAATTTGAAGTGAGGTAAGGTGATTCCTCCAGGTGTTTTTGTTGTTATTCTGTTTTTGTTTTAGGCTCAGGATTGCTTTGGCTATTCTGGGTCCTTTGTGGTTCCATATAAATGTTAGGATTGTTATTTCTATTTCTATGGAGAATATCATTGGCATTTAAATAAGGATTGCATTGAATCTGTAGATTACCTTTGTTGTATGGACATTTTAACAATATTGATTCTTCCAATTCATGAACAGGGAATATCTTTTCATTCTTTTGTGCTCTTTTCAATTTCTTGCATTAATGTTTTATCGTTTTCATTATAGAGATCTTTCACATCTTTAGTTAATGCCTAGATATTTAAATTTATTTGTAGTTATAGTAAATAAGATTAATTTTTATGATTTTCTTTTCAGATGGCTTGCTGTTGGCTTACAGAAATGCTAATAATTTTCATATGTTGATTTCGTATCCTGCCATTTTACTGAATTTGTTCATCAGTTCTAACAGTTTTTTGGTGGGGTCTTTAGGTTTTTCCAAATATAAGGGTGGGGTCTTTAGGTTTTTCCAAATATAAGATCCTATCTTCTGCAACCAAAGATAATTTGACTTACTGCTTTACAATTTGGTTGCTCTTTATTTCTTTCTCTTGTCTGATTGCTTGAGCTAGAACTTCTGGTACTATGTTAAATAATAGTGAATGTGAGTATTCTTGTCATCTTCCCAATCTTAGGGAAAGCTTTCCATTTTCCCCCATTCAGTATGATACTAGCTGTGGGTCTGTCATAGATGGTTTTTATTATGCTAAGATAAGTTCCTTCTATGAGTAGTTTTTTGAGGGTTTTTATCATGAATATATATTGAATTTTTTCAAATGCTTTTTTCACATCCATTAAAATAATGATACGGTTTTTTCCTTCATTCTGTTTATATGATGTATCACATTGATTGATTTGCATATGTTGAATCATTCTTGCATTCCTGTAGTAAATCCCACTTGGTCTTGTATTAGTTTGTTCTCACACTGTTATAAAGAAATACCCAAGACTGGGTAACTTATAAAGAAAAGAGGTTTAATTGACTCACAGTTTCACATGGCTCGGGAGGCCTCAGAAAACTTACAATCACGGCAGAAGGGGAACCAGGCACGTCTTACATGGTGGCAAGTGAGAGAGAACATATGAAGGACCAACTGTCAAACAGTTGTAAAACCATCAGATGTCATGAGAACTCACTATCATGAGAACAGCATGGGGGAACCACCCACGTGATCTAATTACCTCCCACCAGGTATCTCCCTTGACACATGGGGATTATGGGAATTACAATTCTAGATGAGATTTAGGTGGGAATACAGAGCCAAACTATATCGATCATTATGAATGATCTTTTTAATGTGTTGCTGAATTTGGTTTGCTAGTACTTTGTTGAGGATTTTAGTATCAATATTCATCTGAGATATTGGCTTACAGTTTTATTTTTTGATGTATATTTGTCTGGTTTTGGGATCAGGATAATACTGACCTAGTAGAATGAGTTTGTAAGTATTTCATCCTTCTCTATTTTCTGGAATACTTTGAGTAGGATTAGGATTTGCTCTTAGTTAAATGGTTGGTGGAATTCAGCAGTGAATCTATCAAGTCCTGGGCTTTTCTTTACTGGGAAACTGTTGTGGTTTCCATTTTGTTATGTGTTATTGGGCTGTTTACATTTTGGATTTTTTCATAGTTCAATCTTGGTGGATTGTATGTGTATAAGAATTTATTATTTCTCCAGTTTTTCTAATTTATTGGCATTTAGTTTCTCATAGTAGCCACTAATGATCCTTTGAATTTCTGCAGTATTGTCTGTATTTCTACTTTTTTTCTCTGAAAAAGCATATCTCCTTTTTCATCTCTCATTTTATTTATTTGGCTCTTCTGTGTTTTTTTCTTAGTCTGGCTACAGTTTTGTCAATTTTGTTCATCTTTTGAAAAAAACAACTTTTCATTTCATTGATCTTTTGTATTGCTTTCTTTATTTCAATTTTATTTATTTATGCTCTAACCTTTATCATTTTTTTCTTCTGATTTTGAGTTTGGTTTGCTCTTGTTTTCTAATTCTTTAAGATGCATAGTTAAGTTGCTATTTGTAGTTTTTCTACTTTTTTGGTGTAGTTTGTTACAGCTATAAACTTCCCTCTTAGTACTGCTTTAGCTGTATCCCATAGGTTTTGGTATGTTGTGTCTCCAATATCATCTATATCAATAAAGTTTTCAATTTTCTTCTTCATTTCTTCATTTACATACTAGTCACATAAGAATATATCCCTTTTGTTGTTAATTTCTAGTTTCATTTCGTTGTGGTCAGAGAAGATACTTGATATGATTTCAACTTTATTTTGAATGTTTTAAGACTTGTTTTGTGATCTAACATATGATCTATTCTTGAGAAGGATATATGTGTTGAGCAGAAGAATGTGCTCCAGTGTTGACTTCATATATATTTACAATTTCATATCTTCTCGACCCCTTTATCACTATTTAATGACCTACTTTGTCTCTTGTAACAGTTTTTTGTCTTGAAATCTATTTTGTATCATGTAAGTATAGCTCCTGCTTGCATTTAGTTTCCAGTTTCATGGAATATCTTTTTCCATCCTGTTATTTTCAGTCTATGTGTGTTTTTATGGGTGAAATGTCTTTTTGTAAGCAACAGATTGTTACACTTTGTTTTTTAAATTCATTCAGCCTCTCTGTCTTTTTATTGGAGTGTTTAGAACGTTTGCATTCAACGTTATTAGTAATAAGTAAGAACTTACTCCTGTCATTTTTTTGTTTTCTGATGGTTTTCTTCTCTTGTTTTCCTTCTTTCCTTTCTTCCTGTCTTCCTTTTAGTGAAGGTGATTTTTCTCTAGTAGTAGAATTTAATTTCTTGCTTTTTGTTTTTTGTGTATCCATTGTATGTTTTTTTGATTTGAGGTTACCATGAGGCTGGCAAATACTATCAAATAACCCATTATTTTAAACTGATGACAACACTGATTGCATGAATAAACAATCAAAAAAAGCTAATAAAATCTCTACACTTTAATTTTGTTACCCTGCTTTTAAACATTTTATTGTTTTAATTTATATCCTATTGTTTTCTCTATGTCTGAAACATTGTTGTAGCTATTTTTTTGATTGGCTTATCTTTTAGTCTTTCTATGTAAGGGTAGTTTATACACTGTAATTACAGTGTTACAATATTCTATGTCTGTGTCCTTACTATTACCATTAAGTTTTGTACCTTCAAATGATTTCTTTTTGCTCATTAAAGTCCTTTTTCTTTCTGATTGAAGTACTCCCTTTAGCATTTCTTGTAGGACAGCTGTGGTGTTGAGGAAATCCCTCAGCTTTTGTTAGCTTTTGTTAGTCTGGGTAAGTCTTTATTTATTCTTCATGTTTGAAGGGCATTTTCTCTGGTGCACTATTCTAGAGTAAAAGTTTTTTCCTTTAGCACTTTAAATATGTCATGCCACTCTCTCCTGGCCTGTATGGTTTCCACTGAAAAGTCTGCTGTCAAATGTATTGGAGCTCCACAGTATGTTATTTGTTTCTTTTCTCTTGCTGCTTTTAGAATCCTTCCTTTATCCTTGACCTTTGAGAGTTTGATTATTCAATGCCTTGGTGTAGTCTACTTTGGGTTACTTCTGCTTGGTTTTCTATAACCTTCTTGTACTTGGATATTGATATCTTCCTGTAGGTATGGAACTTCTAGGTTTAGAAGTTCTCTGTTATTATCTTCTTGAATAAACTTTCTACCCATATCTCTTTCTATACCTCCTCTTTAAGGCCAGTAACTCTTAAAGGCTATTTTCTGTATCCCGTTGGCGTGCTTAATTGTTTTTTATTCATTTTTCTTTCCTTTCCTCTGACTGTGTGCTTTCAAATAGCCTTTCTTCAAACTCACTAATTCATTCTTCTGCTTGATCAATTCTTCTTTTGAAGGTCTCTGATGCATTCTTCAGTATGCAAATTATATTTTTCAGCTCCAGAAATTCTGCTTGATTTTTTAAAACTATCTCCATCTCTTTCTTAAATTTACCTAATGGAATTCTGAATTCCTTCTTTGTGTTATCTTGAATTTAGTTGAGTTTCCTCAACACAGCTATTTTAAATTCTTTGCCTAAAAGGTCACATATCTGTTTCTCCAGGATTGGTCCCTGATGTCTTATTTAGTTCATTTGGTGAGATCATGTTTTCCTGGATGATCTTGATGCTTGTGGATGTTGGTCAGTGTCTGGGCATTGAAGAGGTAGGCATTTATTGTAGTCTTCACAGTCTGGGCTTGTTTGTATCTTTTCTTCTTAGGAAGACTTTACAGGTATTTGAAGGGACTTGATTGTTGTGATCTGAACCACACATGCATTAAGGGGCACCCCAAGCCCAGTTACACTATGGTTCTTGCAGATTCATTGAGGTACCACCTTGGTTCCTGGGTAAGATCTGATAGAATTCTATGGTTTACCGGGCAGAAACTATTATTTTCTTCCTTTACATTCTCCCCAACAAATGTAGTCTCTCTTTCTCTCTGTTCTGAACTACCTGGAGCTGGGGGTGGGGTGACACAAGCACTCCTGTGGCCACCAACAATGGGACTATGCTAGGTCAGCCGTGAAGCCAGCACAACACGGGGTCTTACTTAAGGCCTGCTCTAACCAGTACCTGAATACTGCCTGTATTTGCTCAAGGCCTTAGGGCTCTACAATCAGCAGGTTGCAAAGCCAGCCGGCTTATTTTCTTCCCTTCATGGTGGTGTGTTCCCCCATGCCCTAGGCATGCTGTCCAGGAGCCAGGGCCTGGAGTGAAAAACCTTAGAAATTTGCCTGGTGCTCTATTCTACTGCAGCTAAGTTTAAACTTAAACCATGAGGCAAAGTATTACACATTTTTCCTCCTCTTTCCATAGGCGGAGGAGCCTCTCCCCATAGCCACCTGCACTGCAGGCCCATGGGGAGTACTGCCAGGCTACTGGCAATGTTCACTTAAAGTTCGAGAGCTCCTTGGTCAGCTTTTGGTGAATGCTGCCAGGACTAGGACTCACTCTTCAGGGCAGTGGGCTTCCCTCTGGCCCTGGGCAGGTCCAGAAACACTGCCTAAGAGTCAAGACCTGGAATCAGGGATCACAAGAGCCTGCTTCATGTTCTACCCCACTGTGGCTAAGCTTGTCCTTACATTTTGGTTCTTATGAAGCTGATTTTTTGTGTAGATAATTGTTAAATTTGGTATTCTTCTAGATGAGATGATTGGTGGAGGCTCCTATTTGGCCTTCTTGCTCTACCCTATTTTAACTCTGTTTTAACAATATGAACTCTTCTAATCTGTGACACAAACCATCTTTCCATTTATTTGTGTCTTCTTTAATTTCTTTCCTCAATGTTTTATAGTTTTTAGTGTACAGATTTTTCACTTCATTGATTTACTCCTATTTTTTATGGCATTGTAAATGAGATTGGTTTCTTGATTTATTTTTTGGATAGTTTGGTGTTAGTGTATAAAAAGGCTTCTGTTTATTTTGTATGTTGATTTTCTATCCCACGACTCTACTCAATTTGTTTATAAGTTCTAATAGTTTTTTTTGGTGGAATCTTTCAAATTTTCTATATATAAGAGAATGTCATCTGCAAACAAGGAAACCTGAAACTGTAAAACTACTAGAAAAGAAAACATAGAAGAAGAGCTCCTTGATATTAGTCTTGACAAAACTGTTTTGGATAAGAGCTTAAGAGTACAAGCAACAAAATCACAAATAAATAAATGGCATCTGCAAATCATAGATCTTATAATAGGCTAATATACTATATATATAGGGAACTCAAACAACTCAATAGCAAGTAAACAACTGATTTAAAAATAGGCTAAGAAGTTGAATAGACAGGTCTTCAAAAGAAGAAGTACAAATGACCAATAGGTATACAGAAAAATCTTCAACGTCACAAATCATCAGGGAAATGGAAATTAAAACCATAATAAGATATGATCTCACACTTGTTAGAATAACTATTATCAAAATCAAGAAAGATTACAGTTGTTGGCAAAGGCGTAGAAAGAAGGGGAAGTTTGTATATTATTGGTGGGAATGTTAATTAGTACAGCCATTATGGAAAACAGAGCATCTTCAAAAAAATTAAAATAGATCTATTGTATCATTCTGCAATCACACTTTTAAAATATATATCTAAAGGTAATAAAATTAATATGTCAGAGAGACATCTGCAGCATTATTCATGGTAACTATATGGGATAAATCCAAGTGTTTATTAATAGATGAATGGGTACAGAAAATTGTGTGTGTGTGTGTGTGTGTCTATGTTTATATATGCAATGACATATTACTCAACCTGAGAAAAAAAATTCTGTCATTTGAGGCAACATGAAAGAACCTGAAGGACATTAGGCTAAGTGAAATAAGCCAGGCACAGAAAGACAAATATTGCGTGATCTCACTCATATGTGAAATCTAAAAATGTCAGACTCATGAAGCAGAGAATAGAATGGTGGTTGCCAAAGGCTAGGAGAGGAGGGTAGGGTGGATGCGTAATGGGAATATGTTGGTCAAAGAGACGAAGTTTCAGTTAGACACAATGAATAAGCTCTGGAGATTTATGGGACAGCTTGGTGACTATAGTTGATAGTAATGTATTGTATACTTGAGAAGTACTAAGAGATTAGATTTTAAATGTTCTCATCATATAATAGCAATACACATGTATGGCAACAAATATGTTTATTAGTTTAATCATTTCACAATGTGTCCATATATCAAAACATTACATTTTATACCGTAAATATAATTTTTATTTTTCAATTATAAATTCATAAAGCTGAAAAAAATTAAAATTAAAACATATGTATGCAATATTCTCAAAAATAAAACAATGAAAAACATAAAACATGGTAAGTTGATCACAGTTTTTCTTTATTTTTATTTCATAAAAAATATTTAGAAAATACAGAAATAAATGCTTTCAACATTGATTTTAGTTACTAAAATTACTACTGGCCTTTAAAAATGAACAATTGAAGTCAGGATTATAACTAATCAATTATTTAATTCTTAAAATAAATCTGTTTCACTAAGCTTGAATGCTTGATTGTTTTTCAGTCTAATTTTGTGTGTAAAGAAATATGTTTATGTCATTCTTTATCGTGGAAAAACTAAAACCTGTAATTGTTAATTCTGTGAAACAACAATTACAAGATGCCTCTCTAAGTCACATATATATTATAGATCGAAAACCAATAATAAACTATTCTTATAGAACCATAAATGTTTTAAAGAGTGTGAAAGCTAATGCCGTACAAAAGGTATCAGCTTTCTAAAGACTAATAGTATGATTTGTTCCAGTGAAAATCTTTCAAAGTTTATTTTAAAGTTCCTGAATTGGTATTTGGGGTTAATAGTCTTTGATAAGAACTAATAGATTATTTATGTTACTTATCTATTGGAGGACTTAATATACTCATGAAAAGTACCTTTGTAATATATCATATATATATAATATCTGTAGTTACTTCATGGAAAACTGCTGGGATGGTACTCCCAAGCAGGCACTTTGGTTCTCATCCTAGCCGCAGAACTCTTAACCAAAGAGAATCACATAGAGTGCTTTGTAATAGAAGAGATCTGGGGCAGAGGACCATGCCTAATAACAAACTGTAAGAAGCCTGCTAGGGTGATAGATTGTCATAGTACTAAATAAGATAAAAGCCCCAATCCTCACTAGAATAGTATTTTTTTTACCATTTTTGAACAAACTTTGAACACACAAATTTTTTTATAACGACAACTATCTCATTGAATAAACCACATCTTTAGTCTTCATTTATATCAGAAAAATGTATTAGCCCACCAATCAAGTGTCTTTTTTGTTAATAATTTGGTGAGATTCAATAGTTTAATTTATAGCTTCATTCCTTTCTTCAGAGGTCAATTTTATTTGAGCTTATTCAAGTAAAATTATATTAGATTTAATTTTATCCCTAATTAGGCTGTCTCCATAACATAAAGTCATGGCACAATGTGGGGGAATTATCAGCATCTGCTTTTGAAAAATAGATTAATATTAAAAGTGAAATCTGAAACAGGAAAAATTTTAGTCAAAAAAAGTTCAGCAGCACCCACCTTTCGATATCAATTTTTCTTCTATTCAACTACAAGGGGAAAAAGGAGTTGCCATAGTTTAGCAGTTAGATGTTAAGACTAAAAATAAAACAAATGGCAATTTGAGAAAACTATTTATAGCCACAAAGTGAATCACATAAAGAGCTGACCACAAAAAATCCCCAGAACAATTCTCAGGAATTATTTATTTATTACCGTTTATGTATTTTTCATAGGCGCTGATAGTAATAATAGACTTAATTTCAGTGAAAGTTACCCAAGTGTGTATAGATAAATAATATACCTATATCTAGGTCTCTATTGTTATCCACATATACGTTTTAATCTGTAACTCATGTCTATTATATGGTAGCTTTCTGACATGTTTGTAAAAGATGGTTTGAGTTTTAAGATGTGGAAAATTCAAAAGGAACTACTCCAAAAATATGTCACATTCAGTCCTGTGTACTGACTTTTACTGCACAACTGACATTGTCATGGAAGAAAACGATTCATCCTATTGAATTAATTTATTTTAAAGTGTTTTAATTTTAAAATAGAAAATATTTTTCAAAAAGTTTGTAGATCAATACAGAAGACTTTTATATAACAAACAGTAGAATAATACATTTTAATATTTTACAATATTGCTTCACATATTGTTACTTTAAATGGAAAATACTTTTAATACTGTGTATCAAGCCCACTTTGTTGATGTCAGTTTTATGGGAAATTTATAGATTAAAATTTTTTATTTTTAATTTTTGCGAGTACAAAGTAGGTATATTATATATATGTATATATATGGTGTGTGTGTATATATATATAAAATGTATATATAATATATATATTAAATATATAATATATATATAAAATGTATATATATTATATATACATGGCATGTGAGATGTCTTGATATAGGCATGCAATGTGAAATGAACACATCATGGGGAAATGGGGTATTCATCCCCCCAGGCATTCATCCTTTGAGTTACAAATAATCCAATTGCACTTCTCTAAGACCTTTCGTCAGAAGGAATGTTTGGTTTATAGAATGAAGTATGAAAATATTTTAAAAAGAATTTCCTGAGTCCCAGTTAGTATTCTCCCCACTATTTTAAAGGCTTAATATTTGCAGACAATAGAATCTAGTTGTGTACACTATTAGAGGTGATCACACTTATAGAAATTAAATTCAGATTACCTAATAGAATTTTTTTGTTTACGAAACTTGTATAAAGACTGTAACTTGCTCCACAATTATATTGGTGACAACAATAAGACTGATAATTACAGATTACATCATTTGTACATTGCTTTGCTCATTTAATTTTACTAGGTTATGTTTAAATATTAAATAAATAGTAAAATTAGAAGTGATTTAAGATGTTGGATGTGGCATAAATATAGGTTACAAATATTTTAGTACATGGAAGTATGAATTTATCACTGTTTTATGTTAATGATTATGTTCTAGTAAATATTTATTAGAATCTAATATTTAATCTAATATTTATTAGAAACTAGGTTTTTAAGAAAAAGAAACAGAAACTTAAGAAAAATTATTGAGAAGGCATGGGGTAGCTCTAGAAATCATGGGAAAGGCCAGAGAACAAAGCTTGAAGGCTATTCACCGAACATCATTGAGAAACTGGTAGTGACACCACAGTCACTACCACTGTCTCTGAATACTGCCATTCACATTGCCCACCCTGCCAGCTTGACTCCAGGGCTAAGCCTGATACTACGACTACCTTTGAAAACCAGATGCTGTCTTTGCTGCCTCTGCTCCTCAGCATCAAGAAGAATTCCATTGTTGACTCTGAGTCTCCTGGTTATTGGTTTAATTTCAAGGTCTGGGATGAAGGACTCTGACTGGCAAAAATCTAGATGACGTGCCTGAATCTTTATTGCAAGAGCATCTGGGAATGTCACTGTTGACACTTTGAAGTTCTACTGTGGGGAGTGAATTTCTCAATCCTAAGAAATGCTTCTAAAGCCGGGTGACCAATAAGTAACAGATGTCTACTATAGTTGTAAAATAAGAAGTAAAATTCTGTCACTTTTATGGAATGAAAATAATCTTGAAGAAATTATTAATGAACCCATATTAGAGAAAATATTTAATCATATTCATATTGATTAACAGCACCCTGAATTAAGTGATTCTACATGGCCGTAAAATCTCAAATGATTTATTAGCAGTCAGTGCTCAATAGGATGCAGAGAAGTAATCCATATCTTTTGGCGATCACAGGGAATACAGGTCCTACATTGTATCAAATAATATCACACTAAATTTCTACAATTCATATGGAAAATAATTACTATATTTAGAGAAATAGAAGCTTGGAGTTTACACATTTGTGATGAAGAGGTACAGGTCCATCCCACACTGTCTACACAAGTTTTTATAAGATTCTTTTAATATTTTGCAGAATTCTTTCAATACTTCAGGCAGAATTCTTCCTGAATTTTCACATACACTTATGTGAGCAACTGACTATGGTTAGGTTCAATCTGCAACTGTGGAATAATGTAGTCACATTTGTTTTCTGTAATGTTTGTACCATCAGTGTATTCTCTTTCAATTCCCTTTATATAAACCACAATTAGCCATTTTCAACCCCCGCAAAATGTCAAGACATACTCACAAGACCCTGGCTCACAGAAGGTTAATGCAGAAACTCTAATTGTCATTCTTATTTTCAGTATGGAAAAAAAGATAGGTGACATCACTGTGTTTAGATGCTTCCTAATTAGTGAGAGAAAAAACGAATCCATGTGAAGATTTCTTTATGAAGACAGTTGTAAAACTTTTCATTGGATTTTAGAATATCAGAAAGAACATAGAGAAAAGGGGGCAGGGATCATTATTCATGTATTCATTCATCCAACAAACATTTATTGAGTGACTATTATGTGCCTTAGGCATTTGGTATACATAAGTAAACAATACAGATTCCCCTCCAAGAATAAAAGAGAAAACTCCCTTCCAAAACAGATTCCTCTCCAAAGAATAAAACAGAAAACTCCCCTTATGGAACTTAAACTATATTAGACCAATGTGGGTAAAAAAGCATATAGTGATAACAGCTATGAATGAAGAATAAGAAACAGGGTATTGGGAGTGCCAGGATGTGGGGGACGGGGCAAAGTTGCAATTTAAATAGGGTGTGTATTTAGTATCATGGAAAAGGACTATTTGAACAAAAATTTGGAGGAGATAAGGCTATTCACCATCCTAGTGTCTGAAGAAAGAGCATTCTAGGCAGAAAGAATGGACTAGAAAAGGCAGGACAATGCCTGTTGCATTTAAGGCATGAAGGTCACCTGGCTGGATGTAGGGGGTGCTAAAGGGGAGGAGGGCAGGAGTAAGTGAGGTGAACTTTGAAGCCACAAGCGGATAGAACTTCCTGAGGTCCAAATTGACTCTGCTACTTGGTAGCTTTGGCATACTAATTAATATTTCTAGATCTTTTAGTTCTTTCCTTTTAAAATAAACCAAATACATGTGATGTTTTTTATATGTAATATTATGCACAATAAGCTCTCAATATGGTAGCTAGCTGACGCTAATAGTTGCAAAAGAGCTGCTGGTAGGACTAGACCACTTTACAAATCCCATCAAGGGACTTCAGGGAACCCAATGAGTGCTGGCAGAAGATGGCAAGTGTGTGTGAGTGGTTTAATATTATCATTTTATGTTTCCAAAATATTTATCTTGGAAATATGGCTATAGAAAAATTACAGCTTCAAAATATATTTGTGGCTGTTGGGGGCATGTTGTAATATTATGACTAAAAGCAGGGGAATGGGGAAAGAGTAAAATATCACCTATTGGTGTTTTAGAGGCAATAAGAGCATGAGACTATTATAATCACAAGAAGGCATAACTGACAATAGATTGAGAAAATTAAACTTTCTACAGCATCTCATGTTAGCAAGAGTAAAATAAAACTGTATGAGGTAAGGTATAAACAAATCAGTTGTACCACATTACATTTAAAGTTAGTGTGGCAATATATTAAATAGATACATGTTCATGAAATCTAGAACATGAAAAAGCAACCGACCAGACTTAGCTCACATGTTGTGCAAGAAAGTGTTTCAATCCACCTTTAGGGCAGGTGGAGACAGGTATGCCAGCCTATCCTAGTGCACTGATACTGGGTATTAAGATTAAACAGTTTTAATTTTTATTTATTTTATTTTAGGTGTAATTGGAAGAGCTTTGGACATAGATTTAGATTAACAGTTTGTATGATCTTGGACAATTCAATATACAAATATAAATGCTTTAATTACTAATATCAACAGCATGATCACGAGGCTTGATTTTAATATATTTACATCTCAGAAATATTTTTAAAGAATATTTAAAAGATTATATTATTATATTCCATAATCTATGCTTTGCTCAGTGAATTGCCCATTAGAAGTTATTTAAATCTGTTTCAATGTCAAGTTCTTATAATAGTTCATTTTCATTCAACTCTTGATTAACTCTGAATGGATTATTCACTTGGTTATTTGTAAAAAGTCAGGCACCAGAAATATTTAATGCCAACATTGTTTACATTGTCCTTCCTAGATACTCTGGGTTTGACATCTTTGGCCATAGTAGTCATTATCTCAATGTGGGAGATTACACCAGAAAAATCTCAAAAGACATTGTCAGTGCAGAAGAATAAACTGGTTAGCTAAAACAGGCTTCTCATATGGATTAGATTTCTCTCTCAACCATCCCTTACTTCAGAGGTGAGAAACCTTCAACTAGTCAATTTCATTGTTTCAGATTATAAGGTAACACATTTCTCAGTGTGCATTAATTTATTGACATTCTAATTTACAAATGAGTTTTATGAATTTAGTTACTATAAAATAATTCCCCAAATTATGGACACTTCAGATAAAATTAAAAAAAAATAACTTGTTGAAACACGAAAGGCAAGTGAGTCCATGGAGTAACTTGAACTCTAAATTGAGGTTATAGACCATGCCATAGTAATTCCAGTATTAAAAAAAAATTAAGCAATAGTTTTCTTAAACATATATATATTTGCCAGGAGCAGTTAGTTGTGTCACATGTTTTGTGAATTTCATCAGTGTAAGGAGTAAGTGAGAGGAATATTGGTAATATTTCAATGTTCCGGAACAAATCCTTTCATGTGTTTGTATATATTGCTGAAAATGTGACATGTAAAATAAAGACTTCATTATTGTCTTAAAGCAGGACTGAAATGGATCAAGAATGACATGTAACCATTGAGCCAGCCAAATCAAGCATATGTGAAGACAGAAAATTCACCATAAACATGATACACAACATTAACTACGAATGTAACAGCAACTTCTCATTTCATCAACGATTTTCAATGTTATTCTCAGTGTTATGCAAGTTTGTCAAAAAGTAACACAGAAAAGCCAAATAACAGGTACATCTTCTTTATTAAAATCCTCACATGAGAGGCTTTTCAAGAATTTCAAAACAGAAGTCCATTATATTACAGAAGCCATACTTAATTCAAATACAGTGACCAACAAACCATACTATTCCACACATCTTTCTATCATGTTACTATGAATGATGCTCAATTTTGGCACTTCTTCTTTTTTTTTTTTTTTGAGACAGAGTCTCGCTCTGTCACCCAGGCTGGAGTGCAGTGGAGCCATCTCGGCTCATTGCAAGCTCCGCCTCCCAGGTTCACGCCATTCTCCTGCCTCAGCCTCCTGAGTAGCTGGGACTACAGGGGCTCGCCACCACTCTCCGGCTAATTTTTTGTATTCTTAGTAGAGATGGGGTTTCACCGTGTTAGCCAGGATGGTCTGGATCTCCTGGCCTCGTGATCCGCCCGCCTCGGCCTCCCAAAATGCTGGGATAACAGGGATGATCCACCGTGCCCGGCCCCAATTTTGGCACTTCTATAGAAGCAATATGTTTAATGTCAAAATCATTGCTTGTTTAAAAAATATATTCATCCAATTCCGTGAAAAGAAATATTAATTGCCAAACAAAATGTTAGTCATCAAATGAATATAACATTTATTCAATCAAATCTTTCCATTCCCGGAGTCGACATGATATAAAAATCACCTATGGAATCACAACTTCATCATAGGATAGTATAAAAATTCGGGTAAAATAAGCAATTATGGTAATAAACTCAGGTTGAATCAATGATAAGTGTTTATAATCTGCTTATAATTTATATACATGTGTACTTTCCATATTATGTTTCTGAATCAATGTCTGAATTCTGCTCAAAATAACAAGATACAACTTACAACATTAAAGATTTTCAAACCAGTAGGGTCTGAGATTTAAAAAAATAGAAAGCATATATTAGTTTATTTATTTTTTTATTTTATTTCTTTAATTTTTGTTATAGCAAACTACCACAAATATCATTGCTTAGAACAACACAAGTTGATTATCTTGTAGTTTTATAGTTCAAAGTCTGACACAGGTCTCACTGTGCTAAACTCAAGATGTCCACAGGGCTGCCTTCTTTCTAGTCTCTAAAGGATAATACAGTTCCTTATCTTTTGTAGCTTCTAAAGCCCGCCCTCACTCATTTTTTGGCTCTTAGGCCTCTTCTTCCATCGTAAAAGCCACAAACTTCACATCTTTCTGACCCTTCTTCAATTGTTGAATCTCTATCTCTGACCCAGCAGGGAAAGGTCCTCTGCTTTTAAGAACTCAGATTTGGCCGAACAGAATAATTTGAGATGAGGTTCTCACCTTTGGGTCTTTACCTTAGATGCATCAGCAAATTCCTTTTTGCTTTATAAGGTAGAATATTTACAGGTTTCAGAGATTAGGATATAGACATCTTTGGAGGGCATATACTACAGAGCAGAAATGTAGCACAAGATTATGGCATATTAGCACCGCAGGTCTGAGTGACTGTGGTTGGTACCATCACTCCAATTCTTGTCAACATTATTAATTGGATCTTTATTTTCATGCTTATTCAGAAGTTTAAAAATTATCTGAATCAAAAATCTGGCAACTCCACAGGGTGGGAAAATAACCTTGTTTTTTTCTTGAGTTCCTCAGAAAGCCTGTAGAATTTTCTAGTTTGTTCTCTAGAGCAAGCAGTTTGGAGGATGTTATAAATATTTTTGCCAGTTCTTGCAACTAAGAAAATTCAAAAAACATTATTTTGCACTAGAAAGAGCTTTTAGTTTGTATTTAAGCCTTTTTTCTTTTGAAATAACTTAAAAATTTGATAATGCATATTAGGTGTATTGAAAGGAACACTGGCTATTTAGTTAAAGAAAAAACTAGCATGTATATATAATGTGATCTTAGCTTATTCACTTAATCTCTGTTATGCTTTGTTTTCTCACTTACGTCCATTCTTACCACATCTCATCATGTGTGTGTGAGGGTCAAATATACAGATGTTAGATTTGTAAGCAGTACAATGCTATACAAATTTTGGTTCTGAATAATAATTTCTTCTCTTAGCACTCACTGGATAGGGTATTATTATTTCCTTTTAATTAAAATAGTAAAGGCATGCACACATAAACACACAGGGAAAAGTGACTTGAGGTCGTTCATGAGATAGTTCTGGAACTTTCACTTTTGCTCTCTTTCCCTCTGCTGCTTTTCTTTATTTGGAGCCACTTCTTTAAAAATTCCAAATTCTCTCTTAAGATGGGGCTTAGGCCTGGAGTAGAAAAGGTGTTAAATTCATCACTAGGGCAGCCTATATTAAAGTCTTGAGGCCCTTGGGATTGACAATGAAAAGCCCTCATCCTACGTCTCCTTTGAAACAGCTGTTTGAAAAGGAATGCTCTCACAGCAAGTTACAGACACTGAGAACAAGATTTGTAGTTGAAAAAGTGAATTTGCCTTTTGAGTTTGCTTTTAAGCAGGAAGGTAAGTAGGGAGAGGGGTCTAGAGAAATTTCCACAGTTTCTTTGTGTTTTTTGCTTATTTATGCTCACATTGGTCAATATTTTAATTAGAAAAATAATTTCTGCTAAAGCTTTGTGCATAGAGAAAATACAATTGGAATTTTGATAAATTATAAAAGAAATGGCATGTGGCTGGGTTTTCATAGCACCTTTACTTTGAGGCTCAGAGCACCTGCTCCATTTCAGATCATATAATCCACCCCACAGGAGCACATAATACTTCCCAAAAGACTCCTCTGCCAGAGGGCTAGTGATAAATCCCTCCTCAGCCAGACAAGTTGGCCTTTATTTTTTGTATTGCTGTGGGCATCTCACATGACATTCCCAAATAAGGCATTGTACTACAAGCCTGCTATGATCACTAGTAATGACTTAACTGCAAAGGAATTATTATAGTATGAATAACAGTGGTTTACACTGTGAATGTCCTAGCTACTCCAGGAATGCCAGAGCAACAAACATAAAGTGCTGCTCATTCGCCAGTTTGAAAGAGTTTGAAAGAATAAAAGTCAGAAGACTACAACTGCTGCTAATCCGTAAACACTGATTGTCCATTCAACACAGGAAGCAAAACAAATGTAAAATAAGTGATGGCATTAGCCATTGTGCTGTGTGCGAAGGCAATTATATTAAGGGAATTAAAAAAAAAAGACTAAATTCAAATACAAGCCATTTGGGAAGAAAAAGATTTTTGCCTTCAAACCTATTAAATAGAAAATGTATGTGCATTTTGACTTTGGCTTTTGGACTGATCACATTACCACTGTTATGAGGCATATTCTTGTTCCACATACTCATATCTGGCATTAGAGGTGAATGGTATAGAAGTACAAAATTAAATTTATGTTCTTAGTTATATTGTTATACCTCTGTTTATTTTCAAAAAAGATTTGTATTAGATTGCAAAATTAAGCATAACAATTTTAAAAAGCATACAAAACTAATTAAAAGGAACAAATATTAAATAACACCATTTGCTGTGTGGCATGTGTGGTTAAAAATAATTAGTTTACCCACCCGATGTTCAACAAATATTCCAATTATATACGTACACCTCAAATAGTCATTTATTTATTGAACTGATGTTTACCTTCTAGAATTGTAGCTTACAGTTAAACATCATAGATGAGATATAACCTTTGTATAGCATTATAAATTAGGGCAGTGAATTTTGCGGGCATTCATTTCACAGGAAAAGGAAACATGAGAAAAATGTCTCAATCTAGAGAATGAATTAATGCTTCTTAGTCTCTATAATTTAAAATTGATAATGTCAAAAAGAGGGCTTTTCATACTGTAACAGGTAAACTTTAGTTTATAACGGTGAATGAACACTGATTTTCATAAGTAAAAGGCAAACACATGTTTTGCCAGCTTATTTTAAAGCATTTTTGGGCTTGAAAAATAAAATGGATGTGGGGAACCTCTAAATTATTTCATATCTACTGGGGCACTGGGGCATTCCTTTTTATTTTTTTCCTATTTATTTATTTATTTATTTATTTATTTTTTTGAGACGGAGTCTCGCTCTGTCACCCAGGCTGGAGTGCAGTGGCACGATCTCAGCTCACTGCAACCTCCGCCTTACTGGGACATTCCTTTTACCCAGGTACCCTTTCCACTAGAAGTGATCCCAGTTAGATTTAATTGTTTTCTTTCATGATAACTTGTACCACTTGTCCAAACACCTATACTACTTCTCATGATATCATACATCTAAACATTGGCATTGCAAAGTCTTGGCAAGTCAGATGAATGAAAGTAGTAAGGTATCTAGAAGGCTGTGGATGTCTTCCAGAATTGCAGTTACCCATAGAGATTTATTGGCAACTAGCCTACCAGATGGGCTGTGGGCTGTGAATTGTACTTCTTTAGTGCTTAGAACAATGTTCCATACACTTCTCTTTCTATCTAGGTTTTTGTTGTTGTTGTTGTTGTTTTAATTTTTCACATCATCTTTAACACTGACCTGCAATGATTCTGAATGGTTTTACTTTTTTTTTTTTTTTTTTTTGAGACGGAGTCTCGCTCTGGTTGCCAGGCTGGAGGGCAGTGGCGCCATCTCGGCTCAGTACCACTTCTGCCTCTCCAGTTCAAGCGATTCTCCTGCCTCAGCCTCCCGAGTAGCTGGGACTACAGGCGCCCGCCACCACGCACGGCTAATTTTTGTAGTTTTAGTAGAGATGGGGTTTCACCATGTTGGCCAGGATGGTCTCAATCTCTTGACCTCGTGATCCGCCTGCCTCGGCCTCCCAAAGTGCTGGGATTACAGGTGTGAGCCACCGCACCCGGCCTCTATCTAGGTTTTAACACTCAGTTGCTCCCCTATGGGACAAGAAATAACTATTACTTAAGATCCTTGAATAATTGCCAGAAAGGAATTGACTCTGAGAATTGCCTCTTTATAGATTCTTATAGGGTACAAAAAGCCCAATTGTTTAAGCTGGAGGTTAGAGACTGGGCTCATACGAACAACACAATAACAATCTAGAAGACAATAATAGCTATCTATATAGTTATCATCTGAGGGATAGGGGTAGAAAGTAGAGGGATCTATCAAACCCCATTGTGACATGCTTAAAAGAGAATTAATATTAATATTAATAACCTTAGATCACCGAAATTAAGTAAAGTCCATACCACAAAACATAGCAATAAATTTCATGTCTTAGTCACAATACATTTCCAAAGTATTTTCTCACTTTTTAAGCTAGGTCGGAGGTTGATAACTTATGGACCACAGGCCAAATGTAGTCTGTTATCTATTTTTGTAGGCCCACAGACTACAAAGTAACTTTGAGTTGTTGAAAACAATCAAAAGTAGAATAATATTTCATGGCATGTGAAAATTATATGAAATTCAAATTTCAGTGTCCATAAATAGATATTCATTGGAGCACAGCCATGCTCATTTATTTATGTATTGTCCATGACTGCTTTCGCACTACAACAGCAGAGTTGAATCATTGCCACAGAGATCATATGGGCTGCAAAGCCTCAAATATTTACTCTCTGGTCCTTTACATAAAAAAGTAAAAGCTTGCAGACCTCTAAATTGAATTATTTACTCTTTAGGGTCAGATACCATATTTTGTACATATCTAACATCACCCAGATTGAAGAAAACATAAAAGGTGCTCAAGGATAATTCACTGTTGCTCACTCCCCATGCATGACTGCCAATTCAAAACAGGCATAAGCTTTACTGACAAAATGAATATTGTGACCCGGAGGGATTTTGCAGCATGTGAGCAGGGCTCCTGATGTTCAGTACAGAGTGGTTGCACATTGAGCACATGCTCCGTATAATTAATTATTCTGCTTACTCTACCTTCATTCTACATACTTCATTCTACATATGGAGTCAGTTTAGCTTGAAAGAGAGATGATAATAAAAAAGAAACACACACACGCACACACAGCACAATAGAAAAAATAATAATACATCCCAGAAAAGACAAAGAAATGGAAACAACAGTAATTTCTAACATAAAATGATTACCTACTGTGTGACAAACACATATTATCATCTATTAATTTTTTCTTGGCCAGGCATGTTGGCTCATGCCTGTAATCCCAGCACTTTGGGAGGCTGGGATAGGAGGATCACTTGAGCGCAGGTGTTTGAGACCAGCCTGGGCAACATGGTGAGACCTCGTCTATATAAAAAACAAATATAAAAATATTAGCCGAGCAGAGTGGCGTTCACCTGTGTTCCCAGTTACATGGGAGGCTGAGGCAGGAAGATCACTTGAGCCCAGGAAATCAATGCTGCAGGGAGCCGTGTTTGCACCACTGCACTCCAGCCTGGGCAGCAGAGTGAGAATTTGTCTCAAAAAATATATATATGCACTTTAGGAGGCTGAGGCAGATGGATCACGAGGTCAGGAGATCGAGACCATCCTGGCTAGCACAGCAAAACCCTGTGTCTTCTAAAAATACAAAAAATTAGCCAGGTGTGGTGGCGAGCACCTGTAGTCCCAGCTACTAGGGAGGCTGAAGCAGGAGGATGGCATGAACCTGGGAGGCAGAGCTTGCAGTGAGCCGAGATTGCACCACTGCACTCCAGCATGGGTGACAGAGCAAGACTCCATCTCAAAAAAAAAAAAAAATACACACACACACACACACACACATATATATATATATGTTTTTCTTTTACTGTTCACAATAATCCTTTAAAGTTGCTTTATGACTGTTAACATTTTATTGATGAAGAAAGAGATTTATTGTGGCTAAGTAATTTCCACAAGGTCTTAAAAATTGGGAAAACTAGATTAGAATGCAAATTTGACTCTTCCTCAATAGGTATCTCTTATGAACTGAAATGTGTCCTCCCTCACTTAAAATTTAGATGTTGAAGTTCTAACCTCCAATGTATCAGAATGTGACTATATTTGGAAATAGAATCTTTAAAGACACAATTCAGTTAAGATGGGGTCATTAAGATGGGTCTTAATCTAATATAATTGGTGTTCTTAAAAGAAGAAGAAAATTGGATACAGCCATGTCCAGAGAAAAGTTGCTATGAAGACACAGGGAGAAGGTGCAAACCATTTGCAAACCAACAAGTGAAGCCTCAAAATAAACCAATCCTGCCAACATTTGATATTAGACTTTTGTCTTCCAGAACTGTGGAAAAACAAATGCCTGCTGTTTAAGTCACACGATCTTAGGTACGTTATTATGGCAGACATAGCAAGTTATATTGTTATCTTAAAATTTTTAAGAAAACTGTGATTTCCATAAGACTGAATAACTGCAATTAAAACTATTCATGAAAATAATTTGATGTACGGTGAAGTGCTCATGTTCCAAACCTACCTCTAATTTTTTATCTATATGTTTGAGGCCCTACCACCTGAGAATGATTGCTCTAGGTATTCTGGATGTGTTGGTGAACAAGTGACACAAAGTCACTGGCCTCATGAAGCTTGCATTCCAGGGGAGACAGTCAAGAAATGTATAAACCAATAGCTAGTATTTTTGGGTTGAAACAGAAACTTTATGGAGGGTGACTAGCTATGGTAGTTGTTAAGAACCCTGAAGACATTTAAGCTGAACCTATGTGATAAGAAGACATTTAAAATATTGAAAGAAAATAAATTCCAGAAACAGTCCGGAGTTTCCAAGATAGGAATAATTTTGACATATATAAGTGATGGGAGAAAGATTATTTTGGCTAAAGCATAAAGAAAAAAAGAAGGAGTGTTGGGAATTGAGGATGGAGAGGAAATCAGGATGCAGGTCTTACATGGCCTTTCACTTTCAGGGGAACAATTAGAGGAGTGTTGAGCTAGGGAAAAAAATGTTATGATTTAAGCTTTTAAGTTTGTTTTGTCCACTCTTTAAGCCAGGTGAGCAATGATGGCTTAGGTTAGAGATTCAGCTATAATGACTTCGGAGAGTGAAAAGATTCTAGATGTATGGTGGTGATAAGGTCAATGAAAGTGATGACATGTTGCGCATAGACTCCAGGGAAAATAAAGCAAGAAAGCATAATTCTTAAATGTTGAAATAAAGAGAGGGCTGGGCGCAATGGCTCATGACTGTAATCCCAGCACTTTGGGAGGCCGAGGTGAGTGGATCATTTGAGGTCAGGAGTTTAAGACCAGCCTGGCCAACATGGTGAAACCGTGTCTCTACTAAAAATACAAAAATCAGCTGGATGGTAGAGGCATGCCCCTGTAATCCCAGCTACTGGAGGGAGGTTCCCAGGACAATTGCTTGAGCCTGGGAGGTGGAGGTTGTGGTAAGCTGAGATCATGCTACTGACCTCCAGTCTGGATGACAGAGTGAGACAGAGTGAGAACCTGTCTGGAAAAAAAAGAAAAAATAGAGAATTAGCTTTGGCTTGTAGAAAGATGACTAAACATTCTGTTTGAAATATATTTAAAGTTTTTATATTAAATACACCTGCAGAGATACAAAGTGGTGGATAGGATGTATAAATATGGAGATCAAAAGAGAAGGTGGAGCTGGAGATAAGATGCAAGGTTGGTCCAAGCCATAGGCCTGGAAAAGGTTACATAAAGAGAAATTGTGGCTTGGAAAGAAAAAAGAGGGCTTAAAGGAAGCCTAGAGAAATCCAGCATTGAAAACCAGCAAAAAATCATGAAAAGAAATGGCCAGTGAGTTTAAAAAGACATTCCAAAGAGTGTGGTGTTACAACAGCTGAGAGAGACGGTCTACTGAGAAGGAAGGAATGGACAACAGAGTGGAGATCGCTCGACATTTGAAGGAACAATTTCAGTGAAATTGAGAGGTGCATTGACAACCATTTTGGATGGGTTGAGAAGAGGACTTAAGTACAAGAGTAGGTTCAATTACTACAGAAAATTCTTCTAAGGTGTTTTAATGAGAAAGAGAATAGAGAAAATGAATAGAAGCTGTTGGCTGGTGAGCCCTATGAGGCCATTTTTAAAAATATAGAATGATATTGAAACATTTTTGTTGTTTGTTTGCTTTACTGTTGGGAATGATTTAGAGGTAAGAAAATCTTAATGATGGAGAGAGAGGGGACCTAACTGTAGAGCAAGGACAATCAATAAATGAGAGTCAATGAGGTTCTTCAAACCACATATGAAGAAGTTGGTCTTAGATAACAGCAGACATCTCTATGTAACAGGAGGAAAGACAAGACTATCCAGGTACAGATACAGATAGACAAGACTATCTAGGTACAGATACAGATACATGAGTGAATTGGTTTTGGAAAGATAAGATCAATTCTTACGATAAATATTTTCAATAACATTTGATTTACCATCTTCAGGGTAGAGTAAGGGGGTGTGGTGTGTTTGGAAAGAGAAAAACAGTATGGAAA
This sequence comes from Homo sapiens, assembly GCF_000001405.40. Taxonomy (NCBI): domain Eukaryota; kingdom Metazoa; phylum Chordata; class Mammalia; order Primates; family Hominidae; genus Homo; species Homo sapiens. The sequence goes on along the minus strand of NC_000003.12, from coordinate 86,787,488 downwards.
TGGTAATTTAAGTGCTTGGAGATATGTGCTGAAATCTCTATGTGTGCTGAATGCCCACTTGTGATTTGTAAATATAAAGTGAGATCAGTTCACACAATGGAAGGATTTTTTCTTCATTCATAGATAGCTGCTGAGACTGGTGGATAAATGGTTGGATTTAACAATTGTTGGGGTTTTGCCAGCAACTAGGTCAGTGGGTGAAGAGGACAAAAAAGACCAAGGCCTTAGAAAGACGTTGGCTATAGTGCTGCGGTGCTGCATAGTCACCAAGGAATCTAAGGAATCTTGGGTGCATGAGGAGGGCTGTGAGGACAGGGTGTGTAGGAAGGCAAAGGTAAAAATGGATTTGGAGAGGAAAAACATAGAGTCAATTATTGGAGGCCTGTGAAAGATTGAAAGGTAGCTGGAATGGAATTACTTCAGTAAGTAAATAAGAAAGTTAGAATGTGAAAGTAAAGTGGGATGTTTAAAATGCAGATTTTTGGCTGGGTGTAGTGTCTCATACCTATAATCCCAGCACTCTGGGAGGCCAAGTGGGGATGATGGCTTGAGGCCAGGAGTTCAAGGTTAGCCTGGGCAACATAGCGAGGCCATATCATTACTAAAAATAAAAACAAAAATTAGCTGAGTGTGGTGGCATACCTATAGTCCCAGCTACTCAGGAGGCTGAGACAGGAGGATCACTTGAGCCCAGGAGGTTGAGGCTGCAGTGAGCCTTATGGTGCCACTATACTCCAGCCTGGGAAACAGAGCGAGACACTGTCTCAAAAATATAAATAAATAAAATAAAAATAAAATGCAGATTTTTGACATGGGAATTAAAGAGATGAAGACAAGATCCAGGAGTGGAGCAGGTCAAAGATTTTAGATGGATCCGTGTTGAATTTCCACCAATGATGACTGAAATAGCAATGAAGAAATCAGTGAGCCAAGTACTAACGGCGATGATCAATGGAGAGTGTTGTTATGCATTTTCACTTAAAAGGTTAAAAAGTGAGGGATTCTTTATACTTTAATAAGGCACTGTCTTCGTCTTTTCTGGAAACTGTGGGCTAATAACTTAGCTTTTGGAGATAAATAACTTCTCTCTGTTTATCACACCACAGAACAATCCACATGAGCTATTAATGGGGAGTGACTCTGCATGTGATATCAGAAGGCCTGAAAGAATACTGATAAAATCTGAGAAATATTCGCGCGTACACACATCTATGGACGATTCCAACTGCTCGGTGGATGTAACAAAATTAGACTATTTCTCAGAAATAATCTAGTGTTTGTTTTCTAATTTATAACAAAAGTTCAAGCAGTGGAGTTTAAAAAATTAGAATCATTTCAGTCTAGAACATAAAGTTCTCCTAAATGGACACTTTAAAATAGTGTTCAGGAAGCTAAAAATATCTATATAATACAGTCAATTTAGTTTATCAAGGAAGTTGAGAAAGCAGATTAGAACACATCTTACTTTGACGTGTACATTAAATCACTTATTAACAGTTTATTCTTTGGTCTAAATATGTATAGCAGAATAATATGAAGGTAGGCCCAGAGATAAAACTAGCAGTAATATGAAAAAGTGTCATGAAAGTTTAAATATGTAAAACTGGATTGTGTATACTGTTATATAACATTTTATCTATTAAAGGACTATAGAAGACTCGGGTAGAACATATTTAGAAAAAAATTATTTCCTGATTGGCATAAGTATTGATTTGACTTACAATATATTGCTGTATTGACAGGTGACTGAGTTTTTTAAACAACCAGCAAAGAAACTTACATATTCCCTTTATAAAGCACAGCTTGCTTAAAATAGTAGCATATTCTTAAAGTCCCAATAAATGGAGGATTTCTGTGTAGCTGACCAGACTGTTAAATCATAAAACTATAATATAAGCAGTTAAGTTTGCCATCTATTGGTGAAACAAACACAGTGTAAGCATACCAGAAAAGTCGTAGTCTAAAGGCAAGTTATATGAGCATTTTTTTTTGTTATATAAGGTAACATTTCACCATATCAAAATATTCTAATTTATCCATAGAAAAATCAGTCTCATTACTGCTATGACATATTCCAGTCATTGAAAGGATACTAGATCTGGAATCCTATACCATGGTTCTTTTCACAGCTTTTAATGTGCAGTGTAACCTTGTACAAGTTGTTTAACTTCCTATGTCCCACTTTCATTCTATACAAAAATCAATTATGAGGGTGATAGCAGCAATTCATCAGTTCCTTTAAGTTCTAATATTTTATAAATTTTATAACATGAATATATGAGTAGATGCAGACATTGTCACATTTAATGGAGTTCAATTTTAATTTTCCTTTTAGGTAAGAGACATACATATTTTTCTGATGTAAACTCTAGAAGCCACTGTACAAAAGGCTTATTTTAGGAGCATAGAAATTACTCAGTATATTGTAATTGAATGCATAAGTGAATGGGTAAAACACAAAATGAAATGTTTTATAATTTTATAATTCTATACCTCCTTACTCTGTGTAATCATTAAATTTTATCAATCTGTGGCACATGGTTTACTGATTGTCTAAGTTGGAAAACTTTTCTCTTTGGAGCAGAAACAAAAGTAGAAACAAAGAATGTATTTAAATTAAATAAATCAAATCATTTATGTAAATTTGTTTTATATAATATATAAAATAATAGTCATTTTTGTTTTTTCATGTTTAAATGATAGAAAAATTAAAATTTCTCTTTGAACAACATTGCAAACAAAATGAATTACCATTTTCCTAATCCATTTGAAAAATACTATTTTTAAGAAATCATGATGTCTTGTATTGAGTATTACAGGGAAGCCAACTGAAGGCAGGCAAATGGTACAAGTTTTCAGGACATGGTTAAGATGCTTTCATTCTTCTGGGATTTACTCTTAAAACATAATCAGAAATATGTAATATGTATATCCAGTGTTATTTGAAACATTGCATATTTGTTAACAACTAAATATAACAGTAGGTGTATGGCTATTCTAAATTAGTTATAGCTCCAAAGAACATAGATAGAATATAAAAATTCAGGGAATATGGTCATAACATTTATGGTACATTCATCAGTCATCACAGTTGATATCTTTGGTAGCAGGAAAAAAAATTTAAATGTCAGAGCTCCTAAATTAGAAACAAAAATAGCAAAGCTAAACTAAAATAAAAGCAACCCATAATTTCATATCTGAATATCTTTAACATAAGACAATGTTATGCTAATGAATTTTAATTAGCAAGTTAACATTCATTAACCTTTTATTACACCTTTGTCAATAAGTAATTGTGAATCCTATACCATTAAAGTCTGTACAGCTCACTCACTGTTCTGAAATATACATCTTCTAGGAAGTAATAATACTCACTTTGTTAAAGTAGAATAACACAAGATAGACGAAGGCAAAATGTGAAATTTTTTTCTTTTAAAAAAATCCAATATATTTTAAACAGAAAATAAAAAGACAAAGAAATGCGTCCATTTTAGAGTTATTTTTCTAACTTTAGCAGTAAAATTTTATGGTTTTAATGTGAGTCGAAATGTTAGCTAGTTAACAATGAGGATCATTATGATATATGCTTTTGTTGGAGGACAAAAGGATGGAGTTCATGAGGTGAAGGTGACAACATTTGCAAGACTCTTACGTTTTCCCACGTTTCAGTCATCAAAATAAGCCTGAGGCATAAACAAGTGTAATCTTTGAATCTATGTATTTTATTCATTGTTTTATGTCAAAAATTATTTCACCACAAATTTTGGACAATTTACCATAAAACTAGAACTTTAGGTATGTGCTTGTGTTATCAATTTGAGAGTCTGTTTTATAATGAGAAGAAAATAAGAGGTGAAAAGCAATACAACCTTAGCAAGTAAATTTTTCCCAAGGCCCCACTATATTCTGTATAAGTGTCTAACCTCAGTATCTGAGGTCTGGAAATTCACTTATTTCTTCAGCAAGACTAATTTATTTGGCACCTATTTGCAATGTTAAATTGATTATTTTATTTTCCATTGAGCTCTCTATGAATATTGTTTCAGCATATGGGAACATATGGAGTAATAAATAAATAAGTTGCAAAACAAAAACTATTTGCTACAATGAACAGAAGCAGATTTCCATTTATTTGTACAGTATCAAATACAGATATATAATTTCACTTTGAAATTATACTGCATCAATTACATAATCTTTAAAGTTTTTAAATTATTAGCACAATCAGAAGCTCTTATTTCTTCCGGAGCCTAGCATGAAAATGTCTACTGAGACAACAAATGTGGAATCTTCCTCAAAATAGACTTTTTAAAAAACATCTTTCTGAAAACACACCATGGGATCTTGAAATGTTTTTATTCATGTCACTTAATAAATACACTGAGAAAATTATACCATGAAGCAAATTTGAAAGGAAGTATGCACAGATGTCATATGTCAAAATACTGTTCCATATATGGAAAAATTTCTTCTTAGTAGTCCCTTTGTACTTGCATCAGACGATCAGAACAAAATGTATAATTAACTGTGTATCTTATTTGCTTTATTAAATATTTTCTCGTCTGTTTCAGGTTTTTAAAAATGATACCTGAGATGCTCGAGGGGCATCTGCTCTTTAAATTCCCTGGTTTCCAGTGCTCTATGATCTTTTGAACAAATTAATTTTGAGGCCAATTTATTATGCTGCTGTTTTCCTTCTGATTTTTGAAAAGCTTTAGATAAGTAGTTTGACTACCCCTAATAAAGTTATATAAACATGAGCCACATTTTCCATTACTTTCAGACAATTTGGGGAAGATTCTTCACCCTTGGCTAACTCTTGCTTATGTGCAGAGTCACAAGCTGATGTCTGTGTACCTGCTCCTCCAGCTGCTGATTTGTTACCTCGGTTTGCAATTTATCTCAAGAAGCAGTGAAGATGGAGGAAGGAATGATCATAGTGGGTGTAAACATGAATTAATGCCAAGAGACGAAAAAGCAATGGGAATAAGAAAACTTGGAATGTACTAGGGGAGATTCCCACTGTTTTTCATTTTTCATGTCAAATGGAAATCTGATGAAATCTGAGAGCAATTTTATTAGGTTAATTTCCAAATACAGTTTTGGAGTAAAGGAGTAGAAATTAGTAGAAAGGGAGTACAGCAAAGAGGAGACACTAAAAGTTAAGATTCCTTAAGTCAGGATTTAAGTTCATTAAAAGCCTAACTCTAAAAGGCAAAATTCATAAAAAAATAGAAATGTAGACTATGCAGCATCTCTCTTTAATAAATAATAAAAAGAATATGTTATTCTAGCTGAACAGTTTAATTTTGATTACTTGGAAGATCATGTAAAGATTCTTTTACTAATCAATTTGATATTACCCAGAGAAACAGGAAGCGTCAAGGCAGTAAACAGCCAGGGTCTGTAAAGAATAAATTAGGCCCAAATAACTTTATTCTCTTTGTGATAGAATAGCAAGCTTCTAGATAATAATAATACAAAAATCAGTGGCAATATTTTGAATTTCACAACAGATCTACTCTCTATCCAGCGGGGCATTCTATTATAATTAAGACTCATAAATGAACCTGTGGAATACAAATGCCACATTCCATGGGCCCCAGTCTAGTATTATTGCTATCACGAAGAATAAAATTAAATCACATAAAATCTATGATTTCATACTTAAATGTGATTAAAGGAACTGATTACCTTACAGATGATTAGTGGGACATTTTAAGAATGTGTAAAGTAATATTTACAACAGTTCAGAACACCACAGTTAGGAGATAATGTCAGCAGCCAAAGAAGTTATGATGGAATTAATCAGTGACAATGACACTTTTGTGTGAAAGTTCTGTTTGGGCTTTATTTATTCCAATTAGAATGGGAAAAAAAAAAGACAAAGGAATTTTTTTTTCTGTGAAAATGAAGTTTGCCCTAAGATTCTCTAGTGGTGCTAGACCTAGAACTATATGAGACACAGAAATAGTCCTAATTTGAAAAATTAGTTTGGGAAATGGGCTAAAAAGCATTTAGAAGCATGCCTTTCACTTCCTTCTCCTTAGAAACATTAAGTTATGTTATTAGTGTGAACATGGTCTTGAATACCTCTTTTCACAAGTTCAGGGTTCAAAATGTGATCACAGCCACTGTTTGACTTACGTTTTCTCATATGCTTTTGTAAAATAAAGGGAATAGACTGCAATTGTTTCTAAAATTATTTGTATCTCTAAAAAGAGTATGGTTCCCTTTATCTCTGGAAGATCATCCAGGCTTACTAAAGGGTGAGCAATAATCCTGAGGGTTTAATCTGAGTATCGTAATAATACTATTTAGGAATTTATAATTGCTTGAAACTTTCCTCTGCTAAATTTTGTATATGTGTTATAAATATACTAATTTATAATTTATACAGAATCACGTTTTTATTTTAGTCGAAAAGAAATATCCTAAGTATAACAGTGGTTCTCTGGGCTTGTAATGTAATGTCTCTACCACACTTAAGCCTTTAGTAAAATAATTGAGATGTTCTAATGGTAACAATCACTGGAGGAAAGAAGCTATTTTCACTTATTTCCTAGAGGGAAGGGATACTTAATATTCTGTAATGCATAGGACAGTTCCTTTCAACAAAGCATTATTCTTCCTCATATCTAATAGTGCCCTTGTGGCAAAAGACTAAAGCAACGCCCTAACCCATGTTCATATTTAAAAATGTGCAAGTTTCTCTTTTTGCCTCATGACAGATATCAAATGAATGACAAGGACTAGAAAGTTTCTAGAAGGCTAATCTTTCATGGCCAATCCAACTAAGTAACAGTAAATATAATAAACTAATAACAACCAGACAAAATTGCCTGATATTTAAGAGATGCTGGGCTTGAGCCTGGCAACCCTTCATATATTGCCTCAAATGTTCTCTGAAGGGGAAGAAAAGAAACGGTTGAACAGTGTGTCTTGGAGCTGTTCTTATAGGCATGTATACTAATCCTCTTCAGAAAACACTTTGCATTGATTACGTAGAAAAACCTTCTTGGACAGAAGCCAAACAAACTCTCAATACTGAGGAGAATATGGCAGAAAATAAAGACAAAATTTACTTTTCTAAGCTAGGATATTGTATACTCATGGACAACTGAACTCTGCTATGGTTCCTTTTGCCCCCCAAAGAGCATATGTTCAAAACTCATTCCCCAGTGCAACAATGTTGGGGGTGAAGCCTAATGAAAGGTAATTAGGTCACAAGAGTTCTGTGCCTCATGAAAGGATTCATGCCATTATCTTCGGAGTAAGATTTCTAATCATGGGAAAATGGGTTTCTGATAAAAGGACAAGTTCCTCAATCAGCCTCACCCTCTCTCACCCTTTCACCTTCCTCTATCCGATGATGCAGCAAAAAGACCCTTGCCAGATGCTGCCCCTTGGTCTTGGACTTCCCAGCCTATGAAACTGTAAGCCCATCAGTTTCTGCTCTTTATAAATTATCTGGTCTCAGGTACTGTTTCAGCAGCACAAAATTAAGGAAGACAGAAATTTGGAAATGGAAAAGTGGGATTTTGCTATAACAAATACCTGAAAATGTGAACGTGGTTTTGAAACTTGGTAATGAATGGAGGCTGGAAAAATTTGGAAGAGCAGGCTACAAAAACCCTGTGTTACTGTGAACAGAGGATTAAGAGCAATTCTGGTGAGGGCTGAGAAGAAGAAAAGAACTATAGGGAAAAGATGGAACATCTTGGAGATTGATTAAGGAGTTGCATTCAGAATATTGGTAGAAATATGGTTAGTAAAGGCCATTGTGATGAGGTCTCAGCAGAAAATAAAAAATACCTCATTGGAAACTGGAGTAAAGGCCATCTTTGTTATAAATTGTCAATAAGGTTGGCTGAATTGTGTCCATATCCCAGGGCTTTGTGGAAGGCAGAGCTTAAAGAGATTAAGACATCTGGTGGAAGAAATTTTCTAAACAAAATATTGAAGGAGCTGCATGGCTACTTTTACTTACGTATAGTATGATATGAAAGGAGAGAAATGACGTAAAGATAGAATATATAGTAAGCAAGAGAGCAGAGTGGAAAGATTTGGAAAATTCACAGCCTGGCCACATAAAGAGTGAAAAGGCATCTTTAAGAGAGTAAATCAAGGGTTTGGCCAAAAGTCTGTTTGCTCGAAAAATTAGTACCCATAGGATCCTAAAACACATTTCTGAGATCTTTGAGGCAAGCTAAGACCTTGAGGGCCAGGTTTCTAGAGAGGCACTTTCAGGATCTCAGCCATTGCTGCCCCGTGCTGCCTCGAGTGTCTGATCCTTGCATTCAGGCACAGTGCTCTCCTGCTGTCCCATCTGTGCCTCGAGCAGAGTATAAGTAGTAAGCTTTGGCAACACTCATGCCGTGCTAACTCTGCAAGCCAACAGAGTTCCTGAGCTATGGGGGTATGGCTTCTTCCACCTAAATTTTAAAGGATGTTGCCTACAGCCTAGGGGTTCAGGCATAGACTTGCCATAAGGATGGAGAAACTGCAGAGAGTACCTAGTAGAACAATGTCCAGCAGAAATGTGCAATTGAATCTGCCACAGAGAGCCTCCACCAGGGCAATGCTTAGTGGAGCCATGGGAGCAATGCCACTTCATAGACTCCAGAACTGTTGAGCTGCCATCATGCAACAACAACTTTGGAGAGCTGCAGGCATGAGATTCCAACCTGTGAGAGCTGCTATGTGAGTCAAGCCAAGTAACGCCATATGAGTAAGGCTATCTGAGGCCTTGGGGGCCCAACCCCAGCCCTAGTGTGACCAAGGGGTGGCACATAGAGTAAACAATTTTTCTAGAGTCTTAAGATTTAGTGTTGTGTGTCCTGTTTGGTTTTGGACTTACTTGGGTCATATTACTTCTTTCCTTTTGCTTATTCCTACCTTTGGGAATGGGAATATTTATCCTATGTCTGTTCTACTTTGTATTTTGGAGAGAGATAACTTGTTTTGATTTCACAGTCTCATATTTGGAAGGGAACTTGCCTTAGGATTAATCGTGCCTTGGTTCCCAGTGATATCTGAGTTAGATGAGACTCTGGACTTTGGACTTTTAAGTTGGTTCAGAATGAGTTAAGACTTTGGGGCTACTGGATTGGAATAAATGTATCTTGCTCATGAGAAGAACATGCGTTTTAGGGCAGTCGTGGAATGCTATGGTTTGAGTGTGTACCTCAAAAAGCATGTGTTGGAAACTTAATCTCCAATGCAACAGTATTGGGTGGTGGGGCCTAATGAGAAGTGATTAAGCCATGAGGACTTTGCCCTCATGAATAAGTTAATGCCATTGGGAGTGTGTGTATTATCACAGGGATGGGTTCATCGTAAAAAGGCAAGTTTGGTCTCCTTTTCTCTTCTCTCTCTCTTATCCTCTGTCTCTCTTATCCTCTCTCTCTCTTTGACCCACTCTTATCCTTTTGCCTTCCATTATGAGATGACACAGTTTCTTTATAAATTAACCAGGCTTAGATATTCTATTATAGCAGCACAAAACAGACTAAGGCAAGCTCTAAGCTCCATGTGGATGAGGACTTTATTCTGCAATTCCTTAACATTCCCGCCAACATTTAGAAGACTTAAAAGCAGATTGTGAGTATTTTATGAGTTTACATGACTCCTAACTTGCTAGATTCTCAAAATAAAATTAGATAATTAATCTATTATAAAGCTTCTATTTTTTAAATAAGCACATGATATTCTTTTTGTAACATTATAAATGGCTTAGTTTTCAATGGGATTTAAACTTTTCTTGAAAAACAAGAGATAGATATAAGATAATAAAAGTATAAAATATAATAGCGAAATAAAAGACAAAATATTTAGGGATAATATTTATCATGTCTGCTGTATATGAAAGTAAAATGAAAATCCAATTGTTGAACATCAATTATGCATGACACTGAGAACATCCTGGGCCACTAACAGTGTATTGCCTTGCGATGGTTTGTGTTGTATGAAAATATTTTAATGGAATGACATAGAATGTGTAGAAAAAAAAATCTTTTCTTTCTTCTCAACATTGGTTAGAGTCTTAGTAAACCCCTGTGTATAGTATCATATTCTATTAATATAAGCAGATGTAGAATGTAGAGAGAACAGCAAATAAAATGCTTCAAATAGAACATGACTGATGCTAAAAACATATTTTTCTAATGTGATCGTTTTATCAATGCAAAAGAGAGTAGGGTGTTTCTCAACTGAAAAATATTTTTAAATGGTAAGTTTGTAGTTGCTAAGTTCGGGTTAACTTCAAGAATCCAAAAAAACAGGCACATATTTAAAGTTTAGTAGGACAGTAATATCAACTAGTGTCTTTAGTTGGTGATGTTTTTTCTCTTTTCTTTAAGTCTGTCAACATCCATTATATCTAGGGAAAATGTGGTCATAGAGGGTTGTGGGTTTTTTTTCATGAAAGTAACATTCTGGATAGATTTTTTAAGGGAAAAATAATTAGATTTTATGTGTGTGTATAATATGTATGTATATATCATTTTTCCTTTGAGATGAAAGAATTAGTAAGAAATTTTTAAGAACTAGTAAGGAACTAATCTATTCAGCTGTTGGCAGATTGATATGTGGTAAGGGTTTCCTAGGACGATTACAAGAGTGAGCTAAAAAAAATCAAGGGAAAAATTCAAAATATTAGGAAAAATATATCATATATATGTCAAGGTTAATAGATTGAAAAATATTCCCCCATTGATTTGTGCAGCAAAACTGCAGGCAATTTTAGCCTACAGGTGACATAGTAAATACAATTTTTGTTCTTGAGCTTTTTGACATTGTTATCTTACCACGTTTAGCAAAAGGTATCAAATCGATTTAAGCTCTTAGGATAATGTTTGGCATATTATAAGAAATCAGTCTGTGTTGGTGATATTGTTGTCATCATCATTGTGGTTATACTTCATAATTGGTGGATTGCTAAGTAATCTAGCAAATCTGAGAAATGGACCTTTTGGACGATAGAACTCCACTTCTGAATAAGAAGATGGCAGTTAGCACATATTTGGGAATCCTGTGCTTATATTGATTACCACTGGGCAGAAAACAATCCCAAGGCAGAGTGATGTGTTCAGTCATAATCTGCCAAAGAGTAACCTGGATCTTGCTTTTAATTTTGGGGCCTGGGGAGGGGAATTCCAATTTAGCCTGGAAATTAGAGGCTACTAAAATTACCTATAGGTGATGGTTTTTATCCAACTTGTCACTCCTAGCCTGAATAGAAATAGTAGGAGTTACTGAAAGTCCAGAATCTCTGGAAAATGTTGAAGGCTCAAACCAGGTGCCTGCAGTGGTCTTGGTGTGGCTAATGAATTTCTGTTAATATCTATCATTTTGATTTTTCTGAAGTTAGGTGATAAGAAGGTAATCAAATAATCCACAAATATTTATTCAATGCCTATATAATAAGAATCTCCAGACATTTAAAATGTTTCAGATACTGTCCCTGTCCATAAAGTGTTTACCCTCTTTCGATGAGAAAAATACTTTGAAAATATTTATTTTTTAAATATATTACTAGTAACATCAAAGGTATAGCAGAGAAAGTAAAATCTCATAAGACTTCAAAATGTTGCCTATATACTGTGTGCTATCATAATTGCAAACAGGTTTTAGTGTTTTGTAAGCACAGCTATGAAAATAATTTACCTACCTGAAGTGAGCATATCAGTCACAGAATTAAAGACTTAAAGAGTTAAACTTATTTATCTGTTTTTGTTGCTTGGGATTGTAGATATTTTAGCAAATAATAACATGTTTTAGAAAATACAGAAATGAATTCCAAATTTCTGCCCAGCAACTCAGCAATGAGAATCTTCCTTATGTCCAGTCTGCTTTATTTATGCTAAGTCAATGTGCCAATGTTTTTTTAAAAATTCCCAAAGAGTTCAGAAAAACAGAACAATCCGTATCCCTTTGCCCCACCAAGTAATTCTAAATCATAACTTTCTGATTCTTCGAGATCTTATCCCTATTTTCCAACTCATTCATTCAAACAACAAATGAGGAGAGGTGGAGAGGGAATGAAGGAAGATAAATAATAGGTGATAAATTTGGGGAGGAAAAGTAAGAAATGAAAAGACCAATCAGGTAGGATGGAACGTAGGAACACTGTAAAAATTCAACCTGAAAGTAAACAAGTAAGCTTATAATAGTCTAAAACTGAGTAAAAAATTTCTATCCATACACCTACTATGTACCCACAAAAATTAAAAATTAAAAAATTGTAAAAAGTTCCGTTCGAGCTTCTCTAAACCTGGCAACTAAAAAAAAAAAAATCAATTACATATTAATGAAGTCATTCTCCTCTCCTTCATTAGAATTTTAGGTCACTAAACTCTTTTCACTTATTAATTGGCATCAGTATGTTGATTTACTAAGGATCACAGAGTATATCCGCTGTGGAAGCAAAACCGGACCTGACATTTGCTAGCTCAGTCTGCTGCTTTCACATATTTTTTTGTTAGAAAAAAAAAAAACTGTCTCTCTTTGCGAGAGTAAAGACGAAGAATTATCAGAGAAAATATGCTATTATTTTACCAAATTCATCAACTATAGAAAGTAGAAGCATTCCTTCAAATATCAGTAGCTGTTTGAAACTTTTGATTAATCAGTAACCCTACAAAAATAATATGAATATGAATAAAGATAATTTAGAAGACACCTATGAGTAGCAAATTACATTGATTATAAAATATAGTAATTTAAATACAGTCATATATGTAATGATATAAAAGTAAAATGTTAGAGTTTATGAATATAAGTTATATTGAATTATTCTTAGCTAGAAAAATTTTAAATTAAGACTTTATCACAAAAGAAAATGTGAATGTAGGATGTCATAGGATTAGTTTACATTTTGCTTTTTCCTAAAGTATTATTCTATATAGGGTATAAAATTTGCCAGTGCATACACACTCATGTACACACATAGTGTTTACATATCGGAAATGTATTATATATTTCATATATGTATATATCACAAAGAATAAAATATTTCCTGTTAAAATGTATTTGGTAAAAATCTTTATAAAACATGTTTTCATAATAACTAAAAGCATACTGAGACCGAACACAATTTTATATATAAAATGTAATTCAAGAAAGACTTTTAAGTGCACTATAAATACATTTTAATACATGAGTATGTAATGGAAATTTTCTGATCTTTCTCTGCCACCTAGTGGTATACTCGACAGTTTGTCTTTTTTAAAAGGCTAGTGCAAAACTTATTGAATTGGAATTTACATATTGGAATTACAGACTCAGTCATTTAATACATATGAAGTTATGAGTAAACAGAAACAGAAATGCAGTGTATGCATTGTATGGTATTCATATATTACCTTGTCAATTACAAGGTTTTCCAAGGCTTGCTTTGCTATTTACAAAATGTAAAACTTCAAGGTTAGAACGAACAGGATAGAGCTGTTGCCGTAAGGCATAATCTTCCAAATCAGGTTCCAAAGGAACTGTCAAATGTTATGTGAAGTTTTAAAAGTCTAACTAGCTATCATGTACTGTTTAAGTATTTGTAATCATGTAGGAATTTCTCAAGCACTTGTATGTACACTGGTTCACTTAGTTATGTCACATAAATTAAAATGTATATGATGTATTTGTTGTCAATACTAACTTTAGAAATTAATTACCTATAAAAGCAGAAAAATATATTGAAGTTATTTGGATAGAATGATAATTAGACAAACAAAAATAATTATTGGTTGCACATTCATGCTCTTCTGTGTGGTAGAGAGTCTATTTTCTTGAATGAAGGAGAGGTTTGCGAGAGCAGATACATGTAGTTTCAAAATAAATGATAAATACAGAAAGCCATACATTTCTAAAATAAAACACTCAAAATGAAAAGTTCAGGTGTGTGTTATTTAAAATGCTCATTATACTCAAGGACAATATTGATAAGTTAATATCTTTCCTTTGAAATATTTGCTTAGTAAAAAGAGCTTGTTATCAGCCTCCCGCTGCCCCTGTCTTCATCCACCTGCTGGGAGATGCACGTGCTTTTGTGAGGGAAGGCTGGTGTATATGAAAAACTTACTGGGTCTTTATAATTATCTGTAGCTAAGAGAAGCAACTTTTTCATATAGTGAGAATTGACTAATGCAAAGATTAAAATGTCCTGGTACCTGGACACAATTAATATTACATATTATAGAAAGGGAAGTGATTTATTATAAAATGAACGAAAACATATGACTTATTTGTCTTAAAATTAACATTAATAGAAAGGAATGAATATCATTTTTTTTCTTTGAGAAAGGTCAATGTACCTTTGCACCTGTTTCTGTACTCTTAATCTGGGAAATGACTATTCTATAAGATTAGCATTCATAATTAATTTCTAACCCTGTTATATTGTTACAGGATCATTGGGGTGTCATTTTTCTGGTCGGAAACCTCTGTGGGTGGCATTGTTGCCCTAGTTGCCCTAGTAGCTCGGGCCTACTGGGCTTGTTTTACCTGCTTGTCCTGGCAATCTGCACTCAGCTCACACTACCAGCCTGGGTCCCATACTTGCCAAGCGTGATTCAGGTGTGGAACAGCAAAGGGTGTGTGAATGAATGTGGGGTCTAGCCACTGAGCACAATCAGATGTGACAGCTACCACAGCGGGACAGGCAGCTCCAGGTGCTGGCTTGAGATGCCAGGAACTGCAGAGCCCCAAAGAGTCACCGCCCTGGCTACAGAAGCTTCCAGGTCTGGGATTTCTGAAGGGCCTCAGTTCTTCTTTACTCTTCAGCAGCAGTGTGTCGAGCAAGGGACATGTTTCAGCCCTGTTTGTGTTACAGCTCTTTTAGCCCCACCATTTGACAGATCCAGAGTTCTTCTCCTACCACCATGAAGAATGAGATATGGAAACAAGTGGGACTATGAGCAAGATGAATAGGAGCTTTATTGAGTGATATAACAGCTAAGTCTCCTGCAGGGGGGCAGCTCCTTTCCACAGCCATGCAGCCACAGTGTCCAGATGAGTGTTCAGCTCCTAGCAGAGAGGAGGCCCTGGAGTGGGAAGCTTCTCTCTGCAGGGAGGTTGTCCTGTCTCCCCAGCTCTCAGCAGAGAGGAGGCCCTGGAGTGGACTGTTCCTCTCTGCAGCTAGTTGTTCTGATGTCTGTTCTGCTCTGTCTGAGCCCTGGGGTTATATGGGCCTCAGATGAGAGGAAGTGTGTGCTGATTGGTCCATGGGTGGCCATGGGTGGCCCGGAAAAGGCACCACATGCACTTACTCCAGTCTGCATGACTGGCAGCCTGACTGCCAGCCTTCAGGCCTTCCCTGGCCTGAAGGTGAGGCCTCACTGGGGACTGCCCCCTTCCACCCAGGAGCTTGTCTGTCTCCTGCTGCCATCTATGGTGCCCAGGCTGCTCATGCAAAGGGGCATCTGTAGGCCAGCACAGGGCTGTCCTTAGTCTCCCTTGGCCTCCCTCACATGCCTGTTGGCGCCCGAAGTCCAGAGGGGCTCGAGGCAGCAGGGGCCTTGTGTCTCAGCATTGTCCCAAGTGTGTGCATCCCTGGCCAGGCTGCAACAGTGCCCAGGCTTGGCCCCACATTGCTCCAAGACTGGAGTGGATGCTGACAGTGGGGAGAAGCCAGACAGTGGGAGCAGGTACTTCCAAGCCTGCAAGGGCAGGAGGGGTCTTCCTGAGACCCCAAGAGTGCAGGGATGCATGGATGCACAGCTGTGGTTTGGGTGGCTGCAGCTGTGCCTGGGAGGATGGGGCTCCTGCCTGCTCTGTGGAGCATGCTGTCCTGACCAATGCCTTCCTGCTGCAGCCGGCGTGATGGCAGTGGCTGCTTCAAACTGCTTGCCATTGCCATCAATATGACAGCCTGATAGAAAGGCACAATTTTTATAAAACTGTCTACAAGAATGGATGCAAGACTTATTTTTATAGGAGATAATCTATTAAAATTTTTTGTGGAAACTGGTGCTTATGAGAATATAAAAGTTAAAATGCAGATAGATTATTAAAATTATGAAATTAGTATATATTGTGCAATTGTTTTCCAATGAATATCCTAATACTATACTCACTAATAAGGTCAAAATGAGAAGAAAAAAAGGATGGATTTGCTGTGTTCCACTGTATACTTCAAGCATAGAGTCTTTTTGGCACTAGGCTAGGCTCACTCCTGATGGAAGTACGTATTTTATTCACAGATTTTAATTTATGTTGAAAAGGTATAGTATAATGTAGTCATTACAAATAGAAATTAATGCTATACAATATGCCGTATGTTTATTTGAAATTATAACTGCCAGGTGTCTAAAACATGGTAGTTATTTCCAAAAGTATTTTTCATAGTTTATTTTCAAATTTGCATTCCTCTTTTATTGTATGTACTTAGTATAAAAAATGTCATTCTCATGCAAGACTCTTACAAATGAAGCGTGGTACAAACTTATTTGTTTTTTCTGATTAAAAAATATATTTTTGACATAAAAATACATGTACAAAAACAAGAGAAAAGTAATACTGAAAAATACATTCTTATCAGGCCTATGTGTATATATAATATATATTTCAAAATATTTAAAACATATGTGTGTTTATATATGGTTTTATAACTAAGTTTGGAATCTAAACTATCAAAAATAATTTTATATCATTACTTTTTGCTTCAATAATATTTTATTGAGTGTAATATTTCATGCTATAGAGCTTTGTTCATAAGCTTTTGGTAACCAACCATTATTGTTGAATATTCTCTATTAAAATCAATAAACAGCTCTGATTATTTTAGTCTATCCATTATAATTATTTTTAATACAAATTTCTAATACCTAAGTTAAATAACAAAGATACATGGTAGATATTGATATGTATTTTTATATTGCCCTCAGAAACTTAGTTAAAATGCTGAGAAGCAATTGTTAACTAGGTATCAAAGCCTTAATATTTTACATCCTCTTATTGTATACTTCTAGTCCTTTAAATCTCGCCAAAGGAAAAACTCAAAAATGTATACAATGCTGTAAGCCTAAAATTTCAGTGTCATTTTTTACTTTGAAATATTAGAAACCTTGTATATACTTTAAATTGTCATAATGCTTAAGTAAATTCTAGTAGAGTAGTTTTATGAGATATTATGTAGCTATTATTATTATGACAAAGAATCTATAATAACATGAATAATATAGGTGATATAGCATTAAATAAAAATAATGACTTATAGCATATTAACATATTTTAAAGAAACAATACAAGGATACTAGAATATACACCAAATTAACCCTAGGCATCTTTGAGTGGTAGGAATAGGGGCCGCCTTTTCTTTTTCCTGCATTTTCTTCTTATTTAAAAATAGGCGTATGTTGATACATCAATAAAATTTGTAATTTTACTTTAAAACATTAATCATGTATGTGTATAATTCCCCAAATTGAATCCTTTGGCTCCCAAATTATTTACTTAATAGCAAAATAAGATTCTAACCATTGACATTTACAATGGAAAATCATAAATATGCTCTCCTGACAATTTCCCTTAAAATTTAAGAGAACTCACATATGAACACATCCCAGAATATGTTTTCTTCCTTTCTAGTTCATAAACGCTACATAGCTGTAATTGGCTACTGATATTTAAAAGGGGTAAATATTCTTATCAGGTGCAGAGTAGGCAAGAAAAACTACTTATAATGTGGAGCAGTACTTTCTAAACTAGCCTAAGGAACTCTAAGGGAGACAGTTTTTATAAAGATTCATGGATTCTTAGGTGTGCCAAATAACTGCCAAAAAATGTGCAGTCTACATATATATATATATATATATATATATATATATATATATATATATATATATATATATAATGTAATTGCAAATTCAATGAAGGGACCAGTGTCAGAGTCTTAGTAATATGAATAAAGAAATGAATGAAAATTTTGAGAAAAATTAACATTATTGTTGCTTTCTTTTTCAGTAGGTAAAAATACCTACATTCAATTCATTCAGTTAATGAATGGTAGAATTACAGTTATTACTATTTAGACGTCTATTATTTATATTAAATATTACATTGTGATGAGGTTTTATAGTAAAAAATTATCAAAATATAGCAGACATATGTTTCTATAAAACAGTTCAAATCAAATCTTAAACAAATGAAGCCTCAAATTGTAATTAAATCTCAATAACCTCTCCAATGAGACAGAATTTAAATGTTAAAAGCACATAGAAGTCCTATTGTATAGTTACTGCTTTTGAGATTTATTGTTGTTGTTTACTTTCTGCCTTCATGTCTTCTCTATTTTCTTCTCATACTGGCTTGCAGCTAGCAGGAGAAACTCTCTTCTAAGATGTGATTTACCCCTGACTCTTGCTGTGCCTGTAGATTTTACAATCTAAGTCAATCCCACTCACAGTAGGGGCCATTGGTAAAGTACTTCAGCTCAGAACAGCAAATTGGCTAAACTCTCATTTTGGGTGTCCAAGGGATGCCCATGGGCAACTGACTTCCAAACATCCAAACAAAAGATTTCTAGTCTTAGTAAGACAAATATATACCATATAAGCTTAGCTGAGATACAGTAATGCTTATAATCTATAGTCTCAAATATATTCACATCTTGCTTACCTGACCATTTTTATTGTTAATTATAATTCAAAAAATGTTTTACAGAAATGTAAACTTCCTACTCTCAAAGAAGCTAAATTACAGGCATATCATAAAATACAGGGTGTCATATTATAGAAATTTCAAACTTGTGGCTTTGCCAATAGCATTCACTTAGTCAAATCAGGTATAAACTGGCTTATTTCTAAATGAAGCTAAGAAGTAAACTTAATCTAAATTCTTGGATAAAAAGAACTTTTCAGATTTCAGCCAACTTCTTTCTCCTTCCTAATTTACTTATAAACAGAGTCTCCAGTAGAGACTGTCTGTTTATAAGTAAATTAATTTTATCAGCCTCTGAAGTCAGACTCCAATTTTAGGGAAAACTTGCAGGTGATTGTAGTGGACATGTATCAGTCTTTTTGGATATCCCATTTGAACTACTATCCTATGCTTGGGAAATTCCAAACTGAACGATGTCAGTGACATGCATATCCTTTCCCAGCATCACTTATGGGCAGAACATAGATGCCTGACCTGGGCTCTGTCAAACACAGCAAGCATGTGCCTAGATTTGGAATTAGGAGATAGTGAGGGAAAGAAAGGGAGCTACCACTGAGTCCCAGTAGAGACAGAAGCAGGCGTGGCTAATTCAGATTCCCAGGACAGTTGTGGCAACAGTGTTGGTGGTAGATCTAGTATCTGGGGTTAGCTTTTAGAGCTTCAGCATTCAGTGATGATTAGCAGCAATAGCTGTGATGCTGTCTTGTTGCAGGATGGGCCTGGGGTTCAGTTTCAAGCTAGAGAACCCTCAGACCAGTTCTCCAGCCCTTTCTGTGATTTTGGAACTATTCAGTATCCTTTTCATAAATTGCCTTTCTGCTTATAGAACTCACAATGATTTCTCTTGCCTGTGACTAGTAACTCTAATAAGTTGTCTAAATCAAAAAGACTGTGATTAAAGATGAAGGAATGCATAGAAATGGCAACAGTGATTGGCCTTCAAGTAAGCTTGATTATTCAGTCTTATGGTTGTTCCCCATTTGTTAGGTGTGAGCACTAGATGGTATAAAGAACCTCTGGCTTCAGTCAAAAGATGATTAAATTGAGTCATACATAAGATTAAATTAGGGCAGCTTTTGCAATAAACTTGTGTTTGGGGAGAAAATGCTTATACATAAATTGGCAAATACATAAACTATCGTGAAGACTTCATTTCATTGCTTAAACACTAATCTATTCACATAGTTCTCCTTTTACATTCAAGCCAGAAACTGTGTTTTTATATTTTTCTTTATCTTCGGTTGTAGCTCTTCAGATAGCAAGTTTACTCTTATACTCCTTGACAAGTTATATACAAAAATGAGTAAGTATATTAAAAACATTTAAAGGTGTTATCATTAAAATTATAATGAAATGATTTGACTAGATATAAATAAACTATAATCATGGGGATAATAGAAAGTTGTACATCAGAAACCAATATTTTTTTGACCATTGCTTTTACAGAACACTATTTCAAATAAGAGATAGCATAGTTTATGTAGAGCATGGGCCAGAAATGGAAATACCTAAACGAGCTGCTAAAAATGATAATTGTATGAATTGTGCTGTGCATAAGACAATAGGAAATGGTGATGGCAGTGACATATTGGTTAATGCATAATTTTCTTAAAGAATTTTAATTTAATTTTAAAATTTAGATATAATGAATACATACACACACACACACACACACACACACACACACCACTGTGAGTACTAGAAAACTTATCTGTAGGCTTAATTTTATCTATAAAACAGACCTTCATATAATTTCTCATTTAGAGTTGGTTTCAGGAAATATAATCCCTCCTCCTCTGTTTCCTTCTTTCTGAAGGTCTTTGTTGGCTTTTCAGTTCTATAACTCGAAGGACAATATATATACCTCTGTAACTCAATGAGTTAAAAGTCTGTTTATCTACTACCCATTGCAGATGAGTCTGTTTTTCTGAATAGACACTATTATTAAACACACAATTCTAAATTTGATCGATAAATTTAGAAGGCTAGTGAGTGAATATTCCTTGATTCCTGTTACATTTAAGGCAAAGATGATCTGATAGTATAAAGACCTTTTCATTAATGCTTTAAGAAAATATATGATTTTTCTTTATTGTAGTACACAATTAAGGGTATCCATCACCCAAATAAAGTAAAAGATCGTATATTGTCATTAGGGAATATGGTGAATTATTAATGTATTTTTCTCAGTTATCTATGTGTTAAGCAAAGCTTATAATATGTTACAAGGTTACATCCATTTTGGATGTGTGCATAATTTCTTAGTCACATAAAATAAGTGCGGAGAATGCAGAAAATATGCTGATGGCTGTGTTTTTAATGTTCATGTTACTGAATGTTAATAAAATTATTTGATCTGGAGGTCAAAAACATTTTTTTTTAATTTCCAAAACTTTCTAGAGCTGTCTGCACTTTTCATTTGGAAAAAGAAATTGTGTATGGAAAATATTTAGCTGTTTGGGAAAAACAATTGCTACATAATACATCAGTTACCACACAACTGTCATACAATACAATGAAGTGGTTACCAAAACAACATGTTTAATTTATTTGTTTGTTTTATGCACATAAATATTTTCCACATGAATAATGTCAAAATGTCTTCTGATTCAAATTGAAATTCACAAACACCGTTTCTTTCTTCTCCAAACAAATTTTAACATGTAAGATTTACTTAGAAGTTCTTGCTGAGACATGAAAGTTAAGGTGAAGCCTATTAAATCATTTGCTCAGGTAAGATACCTTATCACAATTCACAGCACTGCATCTACAATATTCTCTCCTAGGAATAATTTTTTTTCAAAGATTTTTGAACTTCAATATATTAGTGTAGCATAAAAAGGAGTTAAAGAGTTCTAGTGTTTGGGAAGGCAACTGAGAAAATTGTGAGTTCTCAACATAAAAACTTTAAGAAACCACCTACAGGTGTTTTGCAAAGTTTTTTGTCCTTTTTTTTCAGAAGTAACTGCTGCCAACATATATGTTGAGATTTTTTTTGAAATGGTTAGCTCTTAGTAGAGTTACAAAGAGTTGATCACAATCCCATCAACTGCCACCTATACTTGTATTTCAAAAGTGTCTGGTGATCATTTGTGAATCATATAATTTTCAAGACCAAGATCATACGTTTGGTATCATGAGAACCATACTGTAGCAAATCAAAGTGCAACAAATGTAAGTATCAATAACATATCTCAATGATTTTAAGATCAACTTGTTGATTTTGTTAATTTCTGGCCCGATTTTGAAGTTAAATGATTCCTCATCCCTTGAAAAAACAGAAATGTACTCAAAAACACTTTTTATTGTATCTTTGTCTGCTGTCAATTGTTTCTGTATATTGTGAAATGAAACTAACCCATCGGCCAAGGTGAATGAGAGAAGGGTGGTCACACCCACTTTGTTCCCAGAGAGGGCAGCTTCAGAGGAACATCTTGTTTGCACCTCTGAGTTAAGATGGTTCCTGTAACTGGAGCTCAAGCTCTGGTGGGAAAACTCCTTCCACCAGCGGCCTGAAAGGGGCAGCTAAAAAAGACTTCTGGTTTGAGCTTGGAAACTACCCAGCCAGAACTTAACTGTATTCAACCAATTAGGACTGAACAAGTTGGAATTCTTCATATGCATATGTGGACCTCATTGAGGGCTGAGGCAGAGACTTTCCCTATTCATTAAGCAAGGCCTGCTCTTTGTTATCTGGAGCTTACTTCACATTTGTTTCAAAGGTGTCTCCCCTATCTGAATATTGCTTTTTGTTTTTGTTTTAAAAACAAAACTCTCCTTTGTTTTTCCTCTGAAGACCTCATTGGCTTTTGTTAACAATATCAGGTATTTCTTTGATTGCAACATCATTGGGATCTAAAGAGTTTATGTAGAATATATTTCCACTCATTTGAGAATATTGGACATGAATACTTCTAAAGGTAAAAAAAGAGCTAGAGCTTTTTTTTGTTGTTGGTTTTGTGTTGTTTTTATAGATTCAGGGAGCACGTATGCAGGTTTGTTACGTAGATATATTGTGTAATGGTGAAGTTTGGGCTTTTAGTGTGCTGGTCACCTCAATAGTGAACATTGTACCCAATAGGTAGCTTTCCACCTTCTCTCAGTCTCCCTCTCTTGGAATACCAAATATCTGTTATTTTTCTGCCTAGGGCTGTTTTTAAAATTTGTGGAAGAAAATGCTCACAGTTATCTTTAAAATGAAACTTTGGATTGTTTCACATTCAATTGGTATGGAAAATATCCTCGGCATCGAGAAGCATAATAAAGGTGATATTTGCAAATAAAACACAAAAGTAGAATTTTTTAAAGCTACAGTAGAGTTACAACATCAAAACTTTCATATATGTAGTCTCTGTTGTTCCTGTGCAAGGTAACTTTTTGGATTTGATGTAAGAATTTTAAACTCCCGTGTTTTTCCATATGTAACTAAACATTAAAACAAGATCATAATATCATTTCTTATTAAAAATTTGCCTGCTGGTCTTTTAAGTACACAACTTATTCACACATATAAATTGATAATATATTAAATGAGAAATGTAATTAGTATTTGCTCATTTTTCTTCTTTGAGAATTTTGTGAATAAATGTTCATTAATCTAGTGGCAAATGTACCCTAACGTTGTATAATTCACACCCTTTCTGCATGAGTTTACTAAGATGTAATCTATTTTTCATTTTATCTCCTCTCTTTGCTCCAATTGCACTTCTATAGGTACTAAATGTTTATTTATGTACGTATTTGATTATTCATATGTAAACATCTGTCAACTCAATAAAACTCATTGCAGGGTACTCATTACTTTAAAGAGAAAACTGGGCTCATTGCAGTGAAACTAAATGTAAAAACCATCAATACAAATTTTTAAAAATAACAAATCAGAAGTTTGGTCCTTACTTAATTGATTGGACCCAAATACCATCTGAGAAAAGCGTATTCTTTTACTCTTTCAAAAGTCTTTAAAATGTGTTGTGCAATATATTTTGAAATGTCTGTGTTTGGGTATATATACTTTTAAAATGTTCTAAACATAAAAACTTAAGCAAAATATTATACTTGAAACAGCTACAGTATTAAGATTGATTTTTCTTATCTGAGTACAAAGTTCAGTTTTTCCCTAAATAGGTGCATCCTCCTACAAATCAATACCAATAACAATTTAGTCTGTAATACTGAGGATAAAAGTTCTGAAAAATATGGGAACATCAATCATAAAGTAATACATCATAAAATTGATAGCACAGTGTATTCTACAGAATTGTGCAGTGTATTTTCATATATATACATAAGATACAGGATATTTTGGAAATAGGTAACATAGAATGCTGAAATTATTTTTTCTGAATTTTATCATATGTATAATGTTTTTCTCATTTACTCTCCAGAAAGCCCCATCTCTTTTAAGGTTGGCACCCTCCTCCTAGCATAAAAACTTTTTCTTCTTTACTTTGTTCCTAGAGTACCTTCCCCATAATGGCCAATAACTTCAGAAGAGAGGTGGCCTACTCTGAAATCACAGTCTCAGGCAAAACTGAAGATAAGGGAAAGCCACTCCTTCCTGCAGAGGGATACAGCACAAGGCTCAAGTCTGGCTTTATCAAAAGATGTCACTTGAATTTTAACTAGAAAGCTTTTATGGCCTTTCCAGCGGATATGGTTTGGTTATGTCCCCACCCAAAACTCATCTTGAATTGTAATAATACCCACGTGTCAATGATGGGACCAGGTTGAGATAATTGAATCATAAGGGCAGTTTCCCCTATGCTGTTCCCGTGATAGTGAGTGAGTTCTCATGAGATTTGATGGTTTTATAAGGGGCTTCCAGGCTTCCTCCTTCGCTTGGCTCCCATTGTGTCTCTTGCTGACATGTAAGGGAGTACTGTTTGCTTCCCCTTCCACCATGATTGTAAGTTTCTTGAGGCCTCCCCAACCATGCAAAACTTTGAGTCAATTAAACCTCTTTTCTTTATAAATTATCCAGTCTCGGGTATGTCTTTATTAGCAGCATGAGAACAGACTAATAAACCAACCCAGTAATTGCCCTCTCCATGGCCAAAGGTATAATGTGAAGATGAGTCCAAAGGGTCACTTGTTAAAGACCTGTGAGTTTAAGTCTTCCATAAGACCTGATATATGGCCAGTAGTAATTCTATTAAGGTTTGGGTTTGTTTGTTTTTCTTTGGTGGGGTTGGGGGGGAATTTTGTTGTTGTTTTTGTTGTTTTTGATAGAAGGCAGGTTTGTTTGTTTTTGTTTTTGTTTTTCCATCAGAAGCCCATGGGCAATTAATGGCCATCTTGAGTAGGTACAAAGTTCCAAAAAGCATGGTGCCTTCCTTGTCTTGTTCCAGTTCTCAAGGAGAATGCTTCCAGTTTGTTCCCATTCACTATGAAGTTGACCGTGGGTTTGTAATAGATGGCTCTTATTACTGTGAGGTA
Source organism: Homo sapiens (assembly GCF_000001405.40). Taxonomy (NCBI): domain Eukaryota; kingdom Metazoa; phylum Chordata; class Mammalia; order Primates; family Hominidae; genus Homo; species Homo sapiens. Next base: position 86,762,399 of record NC_000003.12, on the reverse strand, counting down.
TGTTCCCTTGCTGGCTAGTCTGTTGAGAGTTTTTATTATGAAGGGATGTTTGATTTTAATTCTGTTTATGTGGTGAATCACATTTATTGATTTACAAATGGTGAAACAATCTTGCATCCCAGGAAAGAAGTCTGATTAATCATGGTGAGTTAAGTTTTGATGTGATATTGGATTTGGTTTGCTATTATTTTGTTGAGGGCTTTTGTGTCTCTATTCATCAGAGATATTGGCTTGTAGCTTTCTTCTTCGGATTGCTTTGCTGGATTTGGTATATTATTGGAAGTGCTAGCCATCCCATCAGGAAAGAGGAATAAAAGATATTCAAATAGGAAAAGAAGTCAAACTATCTCTCTTTGTGGATGACATAATTGATATAATTGTATACCTAGAAAACCTTAAGGACTTTACAAAAAGGCTCCTGGAACTGATACATGACTTTAGTAAAGTTTGTGCATATAAAATCAATGTACAAAAATTAGTAGCATTTTTCTATGCCAATAACATTCAAGCTGAAAACAAAATCAGAAAAATCCCATTTATAACAGCCACAAAAAATTAAAACACAAGAATATATATAACCAAGGAGGTGAATGATATCTACAAGGAGAAATGCAAAACACTACTAAAAGAAATTATAGATGACACAAACAAGTGGATAAACAGTCCTTTCCCATAGAGTGGAAAATTCAATATTGCTAAAATGGTCATACTGCCAAAAGAAACTTCCAGATTCAATGCTATTTCTATCAAACTACCAATGACATTTTTTATACAACTAGAGAAAACTATTTTAAAATTCATATGAAACTAAAAAAGAGCCCATATAGCCAAAGCAACCCTAAGCAAAAACAGCAAAACCAGAAGCATCACATTACCTGACTTCAAACTACACTATAAGGCAACAGTAACCAAACAGCATTGTACTGGTATAAAGAGAGACACATATACCAATGAAACAGAACAGAGAACCCAGAAATAAAGCTACACACCTACAGCCATCTGATCTTTGACAAAGTTGACAAAAATAAGGAATGGGAAAAGAATCCCCTATTCTATTACTAGTGCTGGGATAACTGGCTAGCTATGTGCAGAAGAATGAAATTGGACCCATACCTTACACCATATACAAATATTAACTCGAAATGGATTAAAGATTTAAACATAAGACCTCAAACTGTAAGAGTCCTGAAGAAAACCCAGGAAATACTCTTCCTGACATTAGCTTTGGGAAATAATTTATGATTAAGTTTTCAAAAGGAATTGCAACAAAACAAAAATTGACAAGTGGAACCTAATTAAACTAATGAGCTTCTGCACTGCAAAAGAAGCCATCAACAGAGTAAACAGACAACCTACCAAAGGAGAGAAAATATCTCAAACTATTCATCCAACAAAGGTCTAATATCCAGAAACGATAAGAAACTTAAACAATTAAACAAGAAAAAAACAAATAACCCCATTAAAAATGGGCATAGGACATGAAAAGATACTTTTCCAAAGCAGACATACATGCTACCAAAACAATGTGTGAAAAATGATCCATATCACTCACATCACTAATCACCAGAGAAATGCAATTCAAAAACCACAATGAGATACCATCTCATACTGGTCAGAATAGCTATGATTAAAAAATCAATAAACAACAAATGCTGGCAGAGAAAGGGAAATGCTTATACACTTTACGTGGGAAAGTAAATTAGTTCAACCACTGTGGAAAGTAGTTTGGAAATTCTCAATGAACTTAGAACTACTATTTTACCTGGCAATACCATTGCAGGATATATATACAAAAGAAAACAAATCATTTTTTCTTTTCCCCAAGATTGTGGATTGGAAGCAGTGTTAGCATGCCTCTCCCACTTGGAAGGAAAGAATAATGTGTAGAGATTCACACTGTGAACTTTTTTCTAAGAAACAATGCAGGAACTTAATAGGAAAACCAAAAGAATCCACAGACCCTTTGAAAGAAGGAGCATGCTGAAGCCTACTCCACGAGACCAGTGAAAAACTCTTAAGTCCCTAGAGTGTGAGAGGCATAGAGACTTCTTCCAGAATACACATTCCCACAGGGAACCTGAAAATACATGCCATGAGAGAAGGCTTTAACCTCACCCAGAGCTGGAATTGATGTAGAGAGTGGTGAGAAATATAAAAGTAGAAGTAGCAATGGGAAATGGCTTGCAGGCATTCCCAGGCTCCAGCATGGGCCACGGGAAGCCATTCCTGATTATATCTCACTGGCTACCTGGCCTTATAGGCAGATGGGGAGGGACATGGCCTGTAAGCCATGCTATCTCTGCAGGGAAAGCTTATGGCTTGGGGCAGGTCTGAGTTCTGTATGCAGACTGCCTGGATCTTAACCTGGTGCTATTAGCAAAGCACTGAGGGAATGAGAGCTGCCTTGCCAACTGTATAGGATTTGGGTGAGGCTTACTGCTGCCTGCTATCCCCTACTCCCTTTGCAAACTCTTCTGTGCAGCAGAGGCAGTTATTTCCTCTCTGGAATCTTAACCTAGTGGCCTGAGAAGCATCCCCTGACTCTCACAGGGGCTGTGGCTTGCCCCTTTCAAAGAGATTTCAAAATGAAGACCCACCTAAACTTGCCCCCATCTAGCGGTGCCCCTCCACCCTCCCTGGTAGCTTAACACAAAGAACATAAACTTTTAAGAATTTTATAGTCCCACCAATCCCGTAAGAAACCAGAACACTTCCCCGGGGAAATTTAGGGCATGCTCAAATCCCACCGCTACTACCACAGCTGGTGCTTTTTTGCAAGAACCACCTCCCGGCTGGAGGCTAACTGATACAGTCTATTGCAGCATCTCTAGGTAAAATAACACTGCACTCAGGAAAGAGAAAATGGCTGCATGACCTCAGCTCTCCTCACTGACTGCAACACCATGGCTAACCCGAGATCCTGAGTTTGTCTGCAAAACAAGTTCACTACGATTATAACTTGCATAAAAGAAAGCCAGCACACTAGGCCAAGGCAGGAGGATCTCGAGGTCAAGAGATAGAGACCATCCTGGCTAACACAATGAAACCCCCTCTCTACTAAAAAAAAAAAAAAAAAAAAAAAAAAAATTAGCTGGGCATGGTGGCGGGCGCCTGTAATCCCAGCTACTCAGGAGGCTGAGGCAGGAGAATGGAGTGAACCCGGGAGGCGGACCTTGCAGTGAGCCCAGATCGTGCCAGTGCACTCCAGCCTGGCGACAGACCGAGATTCTGTCCAAAAAAAAAAAAAGAAAAGAAAAGAAAAAAAGAAAAAAAGAAAGCCAGCACACTAAGCCTATCTACATTGAAGGAATCTCACAGTCTACGTCACTCCCCTGCCACCTCCATCAGGGTTGGTGCTGGTATCCATTGATGGGAATGTTGAACACAGCTCGCATCACTGGACCCCTTGCAGACATTCCCTAGCACCAACCTAGAGTGTGGCAGTGTTATTAGATGGCTAGACCCAGAAGAGCTATAGCAATCGCTGTAGTCTGGCTCTCAGGAATTCCTACTCCTAGGAAAAAGGAGAGAACACTACATCAAGGGAACACCCCATGGTGTGTCCGGAATTGGTGGGTTCTTGGTCTCACTGACTTCAAGAATGAAGCCACGGACCCTTGCGGTGAGTGTTACAGCTCTTAAGGTGGCATGTCTGGAGTTTGTTCCTTCTGATGTTTGGATGTGTTCGGAGTTTCATCCTTCTGGTGGGTTCGTGGTCTTGCTGGCTCAGGAGTTAAGCTGCAGACCTTCGCTGTGTTACAGCTCTTAAGGCAGCGCGTCTGGAGTTGTTCTTTCCTCCCCGTGGGCTCCTGGTCGCGCTGGCTTCAGGAGGGAAGCTGCAGACTTTCCCAGTGAGTGTTAAGCTCATAAAAGCAGCGTGGACTCAAAGAGTGAGCAGTAGCAAGATTTATTGCAAAGAGCAAAAGAACAAAGCCTCCAAAGTGTGGGAGGGGACCCGAGCAGGTTGCCACTGCTGGCTGGGGCAGCCTGCTTTTATTCTCTTATCTGGCCCCACCCACATCCTGCTGATTGGTAGAGCTGACTGGTCTGTTTTGACAGGGTGCTGATTGGTGCATTTACAATCCCTGAGCTAGACACAAAGGTTCTCTACGTCCCCACTAGATTAACTAGATACAGAGTGTGGACACAAAGGTTCTCCAAGGCCCCACCAGAGCAGCTAGATACAGAGTGTGGATTGGTGCACTCACAAACTCTGAGCTAGACACAGGGTGCTGATTGGTGTGTTAACAAACCTTGAGCTAGATACACAGTGTCCATTGGTGTATTTACAATCCCTGAGCTAGACATAAAGGTTCTCCACCTCTCCACCAGGCTCAGGAGCCCAGCTGGCTTCACCCAGTGGATCCCGCACTGGGGCTGCAGGTAGAGCTGCCTGCCAGTCCCGCCCGGTGCACCCACACTCCTCAGCTCTTGGGTGTCAGGGGACTAGGCACCGTGGAGCAGGGGGCGGCCCTCATCGGGGAGGCTCGGGCGGCACAGGAGCCCACGGAGTGGATGGGAGGCTCAGGCATGGCAGGCTGCAGGTCCCGAGCCCTGCCCCGCGGGAAGGCAGCTAAGGCCCCGCGAGAAATCGAGCGCAGCGCCGACGGACGGGCCGGCACTGCTGGGGGACCCAGTACACCCTCCGCAGCCACTGGCCCGGGTGCTAAGCCCCTCATTGCCCGGGGCCGGCAGGGCTGGCCGGCCGGCTGCTCCGAGTGCGGAGCCCGCCAAGCCCACGCCCACCCGGAACTCCAGCTGGCCCGCAAGCGACGCACTCAGCCCCGGTTCCCGCTGGCGCCTCTCCCTCCACACCTCCCTGCAAGCTGAGGGAGTGGGCTCCGGCCTCAGCCAGCCCAGAAAGGGGCTCCCACAGTGCAGCGGTGGGCTGAAGGGCTCCGCAAGTGCCGCCAAAGTGGGAACCCAGGCAGAGGAGGAGCCTAGAGCGAGCGAGGGCTGTGAGGACTGCCAGCATGCTGTCATCTCTCAATGGGACAAAATAATCCAGACAGCAGCCCTTGATTCCCATATCTTTCTGCTGGTGGGAAGTGTCTTACAGCAGAGACACAGTTGCAGTGCTGGAGTCTGCATCTCTAACCCAACAGTCAGACAGCCTTCGTACTTATGAAGGGTCTTGAAGAAGGGGTTCTTGTTCTTCCCTTATCTACCACTGCAGACACCGCTGAGGTTTCTCTCATAGGAACTCAGTGTAAATGCACCTATGGAGAGCCTTCCTGAAACAATTCGGGGTGATTGCATCCTCACAGGAGGAGCAATCCCCAGGATCAGGCTCGCAGAAGAGGGAAAGTCACAGTTCCTTTCAACCTGGAACATTAACATTCTTATAGATAAGAAGAGGTGTCTGTCTGATCTGAATAGCCAGAACACTGGGACAGGAGTGAGGTTGGGAGGTGGATAAATTTTCTTCTAGCCTGGCAGGGGAGCTGAAATAGCTCTCACTCTTCACTCTGATGAAACCTCAGTACATCTAATTGAGAACTCCCCTAGCCACTTTCATCAAGGTGGGGACCTCTACCAAACATTAGGCATTGCATCTACCCACCTTGTTTAGCTACAAACAGTTCCTACCCAGGGGTACCTCTCTTACTCCCCTGAAGCTTGAATTATCAACTCAGTAAATCAAATACTGAGGAAAAAATAAATAAATAAATGAAGTGCACACCATGGGGGGAGAATGAGATGACGTTCAAGAGATCCTTGCATTTCAACCCCATAGGAGACAGTGAACTTTTCCACACACCAAGTACATACTACTACAGCCAGCATCTAAAAAAGCCAGCACACCATGACTCTCTCAAGGAACCTATATAAAATTTTCACTTCTAAAAGCATCAAATTAGGCTATAACAAACTATAAACATTAAAGTCACATCCTTAAGAGGGGAAAAAAAGAAATATAAAAAACACAGTCAAATTAAAAATAAAGTCAAGAATAATTTGAATAAATGGCCTATCCAAATAAGAAGGAAGCAGAAAAGTAATTCTGGTAATATGACAAAACAGGGTTCTGAGACATCCCCAAAAGATCACACTAGCTCTCCAGCAATGGATCCAAACGAAGATGAAATATTTGAAATGCTATATAAAAAATTCAGAAGGTTGATTATTAAGCTAGTCAAGGAGATACCAGAGAAATGTGAAAACCAACACAGAGAAATTTAAAAGCAATTCAGGATATGAAAGAAAATTTTCACAGACAGATAGAAATCATAAAGAAAAAACAATCAGAACTTCTGGAAATGAAAGGCACATTTAGGGAAATGCAAAATGCAGTGGAAAGTTTCAATAGACTGGAACAGCAGTAAGAAAGAATTTCAGAGCTCAAAGACAAGGCTTTTGATTAATCAGACAAAGATTTTAAAATAAGAATAAAAAATAAACGAGTAAAGCCTCCAATAAATATCGGATTATTTAAAGTAGCCAACCCTAAGAATAATTGGTGTTCCTGAGAGAGAAGAGAAGGCTAAAAGTTTGGAAAATGTATTTGAGGGAAAAACTGAGGAAAACTTTTCTGACCTTGCTAGAGATTTAGGCATTCAAATACATGAAGCTCAAAGAATTCCTGGGAAATTTATGGCAAAAAATATCACCACCAAAGATCACCGAGGCACATAGTCATCAGGCTATCTAAAGTTAACATGAAAGAATGAATTCTAAGGGCTGTGAGGCAAAAGTATCAGGAAGCCCACTCAGAAAAACCTTTCAGACTAACAGCAGACTTCTCAGTAGAAAACTTACAAACTAGAAGGAATTAGGACCCTATCTTTAGCCTACTTAAGAAGAATAATTTTCAGCCAAGAATTTTGTATCCAACAAAACTAATCTTCGTAAATGAAGGAGACACAAAATCTTTCTCAGACAAACAAATGCTGAGGGAATCTGCCACTACCAAACCAGCACTACAAGAAGTGCCAAGAAGAATTCTAAATCTTGAAACAGAAGCTCCATATGCACTAAAATATAAACTCCCAAAAGCATAAAACTTACAGGGCCTATAAAAGAATAACACAATGAAGAAAACAAAGTATCCATGTGACAACTAATATGATTCATAGTTCAGTATCTCACATCTCAATATTAATGTTAAATGTAAATCACCTAAATGCCCCACTTAAAAGATACAGAATTACAGAATGGATTAAAAAATGCAACAAATCAAATATCTGCTGTCTTCAAAGAGAACTACCTAACACATAAGGATTTATATAAACTCAAGGTATGGGATGGAAAAATATATTCCATGCAAATGGAAACCAAAAACAAACATAAGTAACTATTCTTATATGAGACAAAACAGACTTTAAAGCAACAACAGTCAATGAAAAAAATAGACAAAGAAAGACCTTATATAATGATAAAAGGATCAGTTCGACAAGAAGACATTACAATTCTAAATTTATATGCAGCAACATTGGAGCTCCCAGATTTATAAAACTATTACTACTAGACCTAAGAAATGAGATACACAGCAACACAATAGTAGTAGGGGACTTAAATATTCCACTGACAGCACTAAACAAATCATTGAGACAGAAAGTCAACAAAGAAACAATGAACTTAAACTATACCCTAGAACAAATGCACTTAACAGATAGTTACAGACCTTTCCTCTCAACAACTGCAAAATATAATTCTTCTCATCAGCACATGGAACATTCTCCAAGATAGACCATATAATAGCCCACAAAACAAGTCTCAATAAATTTAAGAAAATTTAAATCATATTAAATATCTTGTACATCACAGTGGAATAAAACTGGAAATCAACTCCAAAGGAAACCCTCAAAATTATACAAATACATGGAAATTCAATAATCTGCTATTAAATGATTGTTGGGTTAATGATGAAATCAAGATGGAAATTTAAAAATTATTTGAAATGAATGATAACAGTGACAGAAGTTATCAAACCCTGTGGGATACAGTAAAAGCAATGCTAAAAGGAAAGTACCTAGTGTTAAATGCCTACATCAAAAAGCCTGAAAGAGTACAACTTGACAACCTTATGTAACACCTCAAGGAACTACAGAAACAAGAACAAACCCAAAGCCAGCAGAAGAAAAGAAATGACAAAGATTGGAGCAGAACTAAATGAAATTGAAACAAACCAATACAAAAGTTAAATGAAACAAAAATATGGCTCTTTGAAAAGATCAATAATATTGATAGACCATTAGTGAGATTAACCAAGAAGAGAGAAAACCCAAACAAGCTCAATTAGAAATGAAACTAGAGATATTACAACTGATACCACAGAAATACAAAGGATTATTCAAGACTGCTTAAGAACACCTTTACATACACAAACTAGAAAATTTAGAGAAAATGGAAAAAATTCTGGAAACATATAACCCTCCGAGATTAAATCAGGAAGAAACAGAAACCCTGAACAGGCCAATAACAAGCAGCATAATTAAATCAGTAATACAAATGCTGACAACAACAACAACAACAAAATCCAAGGCCAGGTGGATTCACAGCTGAATTCTACCAGACATTCGAAGAATAATTGTACCAATCCTACTGAAACTATTCCAAAAGAGAAAGAAAGAGGGGTTCTTCCTTAAATCATTTTATGAAGCCAGTATCACCCTAGTACCAAAACCAGGAAAAACCATAACAAAAAAGAAAACTACAAACTAATATCCCTGGTAAACATAGATGCAAAAATCCTCAACAAAATACTAACTGAATCCAATAACACATCATAAAGATAATATATCATGATCAAGTGGATTTTATCCCAGTGAGGCAGGGATGGTTTAACATACATAAGTCAATAAATGTGATACATCACATAAACAGAATTAAAAACAAAAACCATACAATCATCTCAATAGACACAGAAAAAGAATTTGATAAAATTCAGTGTCCCTTTATGATAAAAACCCTCTACAAAACAGGCATGGAAATGACTAACCTCAAAGTAATAAAAGCCATGTATGACCATCCCAGAGCCAACATCATACTGAATGGGGAAAAGTTGAAAGCATTCCGCCTGAGAACTGGAACAAGACAAAGATGTCCACTGTCACCACTTCTCTAAACATAGTACTGGAAGTCTTATCCAGAATAATCAGACAAGATAAAGAAATAAAAGGCATCTAAATTGGAAAAGAGGGAGTCAAACTGTCACTGTTTGCTGATGATATGATTGTATACCTAAAAACCCTGAAGACTCATTCAAAAGGCTCCTAGATCTGATAAATAAATTCAGTAATGTCTCATGTTACAGAATCATTGTACACAAATCAGTAGCACTGCTATACACCAATGGCAACTAAGCTGAGAATCAAATAAAGAACGAAATCCTTTTACAACAGCTGCAAAAAAGAAATAAAATACCTAGGAATACACTTAACCAAGGAGGTGAAAGATCTGTACAAGGAAAACTACAGAAAATGGCTGAAAGAAATCATCGATGATGCAAAACAATGGAAACAAACCCCATGCTCGTGGATGGGAAGAATCAATATTGTGAAAATGACCATACCGCCCAAAGCAATCTACTGATTCAATGCAATTTCCATCAAAATACCATCATCAGTTTTCACAGAACTAGAAAAAAGCAATTATAAAATTCATATGGAACCAAAACAGAGCCTGCATATAAAAAGGAATATTAAGCAAAAAGAACAAATTTGGAGGGATCACATTATCCGACTTCACATTAAACTACAAGGCTATCGTTGCCAAAACAGCATGGTTCTGGTATAAAAATAGGCACTTAGACCAATGGAACAGAATACAGAACCAAGAAATAAAGCCAAATACTCTCAGTCAATTGATCTTTGACAAAGCATACAAAAACATAGATTGAGGAAAGGACACTCTATTCAGTACATTGTGCTGGGAAAACTGGCCAGCCACATATAGAAGAATGAAACTGGATTCCCATCTCTCACCTTCCAAAAATTAACTCAAATGGATCAAAGACTTAAAACTAAGACTTCAGTGAAACCATAAAAATTCTAGAAAGTAACATTGGAAAAACTCTTCCAGACATTGGACTAGGCAAAGAATTCATAGCTAAGAGCCCAAAAGCAAAAGCAATAAAAACAAAAATAAATAAATAAGACTGAATTAAATTAAAAAGCTCTGCACAGCAAAATAAATAATTAGCAGAATAAACAAACAACCCACAGAGTTGGAGAAAAAATTTGCAAACTCTGCATCTGACAAAGTTCTACTATCTGGAATCTACAAGGAATCCAAACAAATAAGCAAGGAAAAAATGAAATAATCCCATCAAAAAGGATATAAATAGATATTTCTTAAACGAAGATATCCAGGCCAGGCACGGTGGTTCATGGCTGTAATCCTAGCACTTTGGGAGGGCGAGGTGGGTAGATCACAAGGTCAAGAGATCGAAACCATCCTGGCCAACATGGTGAAACCCCGTCTCTACTAAAAATACAAAAATCAGCTGGGCGTGATGGTGCATGCCTGTAGTCCTAGCTTCTTGGGAGGCTGAGGCAGGAGAATCACTTGAACCTGGGAGGTGGAGGTTGCAATGAGCCAAGATCGCATCATTGCACTCCAGCCTGGGTGACAGAGCCACACTCCGTCTCAAAAAAAAAAAAAAAAAGATATCCAAACAGCTAACAAGCATATGCAAAATGTTCAACATCACTAATTATCAGGGAAATGAAAATTAAAATCACAATGAGATACCACCTTACTCCTGTATGAATTGACATAATTAAAAGGTCAAAAAACTATAGATGTTGATATGAATCAGGTGAAAAGGGAATACGGCTACACTGCTGGTAGGAATGTAAATTAGTACAACCACCATGGAAAACAATATGGAGATTTATTAAAGAAGTAAAAGTAGATACACCACTTGATCCAGCAATCTCATTACTAACTACACAAACAAAAAGAAGCCATTATTTGAAAAAGACACATACACACGCATGTTCACAATTGCAAAGATACAAACCAAACTACATGCTCATCAACAAATGAGTAGATTTAACAAATGTGGCATATATACACCATGGAATACTACTCAACCATATAAAGAATGAAAATAAAGTATTTGGAGCAACTTAGGTGAAGCTGGAGGCCATTATTCCAAGTGAAGTAACTCAGGAATGGAAAGCCAAATACCACATGTTCTCACTTTTAAGTGGGAGCTAAGCTATGAGGATGCAAAGACATACAGAATGATATAATGAGCTTTGAGGACTAAGGTAGGGGAGGTTAGGAGGGGTGTGAGCAATAAAAGACTACATATTTTGTATAGTGTACACTGCTTGGGTGACAGGTGCACTAAAATATCAGAATAACCAAAAATCAACTGTACCCCCAATACTATTAAAATAAAAATAATAGTAATAGTAATAAAGAAAACAAATCATTCTACCAAAAAGACACATGCACTTGTATCTTCATCACAGTGCTACTCACATTAGCAAAGACATGGTATCAACTTAGATGCTCATCAGTGGTGGACACGATAAAGAAAATGTGGTGCCTATAAACCATGGAATACTACACAGCTATAAAAAAGGATAAAATCATGCCCTTTGCAGCAATATGGATGTAGCTGGAGGCCCTTATCCTAAGCAAACTAATGAAGAAACAAAAACCAAATACCACATGTTCTCACTTATAAATGGGAAGTAAACATTAAGTAAATATGGATATAAAGATGGTAAGAATAGACACTGGTGACAAATAGAAGGGAGACAGAGGGAGAGGGATGAGAGTTGAAAAACTACCTCTTGGGTACTATGCTCAGTACTGGGATGACAGAATCATTTGTACCCCAAATCTGAGCATCAAGCAATATACACAGGTATCAAAACTGCACATGTAGCCTCTGAATCTAACATCTCTTCTAGAACAAAATTTCATGATATTTTTAAAGAAAATGCTTGTGGTATAGTTTATGGCATAGTCTCACTGGCTTGTTGCTGAGTTGGGTTTTGTAATGAACAGACTTATGAGTTACTGTATAATTAAATTTTAATGAAATTTATAAATGCAAATGTTATCTCAAAAATCCAAATAGATCCAATAAATATTATTAAAGTTCTTTAATGAGCATGTGGGTATCTGTATGTGAAAAGAGTATCATCAATACATCTTATACCTGAATTCCAAAGGACAACTAAATTGGGATTGAGATTTTATCTATATAGTTTATATGTGATGTCTGGACTATTCAGGTATTATGGGATGCTGAGTAAAGGTGCATTGTTTCTCTTTGAAGGTAAGAGCAAATTGCAACTAGGTCAAATATGACAGCAAGATATTTTCTAATTTCCAATTACATGGAATTTGTTATTTTAATAATTTTGGAAGTAGATGTTATAGGAAGCAGCACAGAATTATAATTTGTAGTCAGGTATCATTCATTTTTATTTTGTTTGAATGTTGGCTAAATTGAACTATGGAAGGGAAGAAACATCGGACTAATTATCTTTTAGAAGGTTTTATGGGTTGGGTTATAACTTGATAGCCTTTATTAGTTGATAATTTTGGGTTCAATGGCAAATATAAAGAGTGTAGTTCAATAAATTTCATCCTCAGGGCTGAAGATTTAATTGTAGGTAATTAGTTGTATTGGGTTTGGATCTTAGATTTAAAGCCAATTTTTTTCTCCCTTTCTTTATATGACCCATAAACTTTGAGTTTTTACCTAAGAGTTTTTATTTTGCAAAACTGGATATAAATATTTATGACTTTTTTCTCCTTTTTGCGATAATTTTGTATTTATCTTTGTAATTTAGTATACTTCAGGAAGATTTTAATTTTCTTTTCTTCTCTTGAAAAATCACAATGTGGATCAGAACATTGTGATAGAATGGAGGACATCATCACCAACTGTAGCACATTTGACCCTGTAACACAGTGACGTAGTGACATAGTAACAAGTGACCACCTAGGAGATCCACTATCCTTTTAAAGACAATGTTCTAGAAACAGGAAAATCTGCACCTCTCCAAGATGCACCACAATGGCCCTAGTCTCTCCTTTCTTCTTAGCCTCTATTCCCTTTTATGCTTCCCCAACCCAACCTGATATATGGCTCTTTGCAAATTTTCCTCATTCATAAGCGTCAGCTAAAATTGAATAAGTTTTAAAAAGAGTCACCTAGCATCCTCTGTTAGATGTCAGTAAGTGTCCATCCCCAAATTTATGAATGTCAGGATGAATGACACATAGGTGCCAATGGACAGAAAATAAAAGCAAATGTACTAAATAATCAAATAATTACACAAGGAGAAGGGCACAGGAATGGTTTGGAATGGAGGAGCTGGCTGGATTGTGTCCATATGCATCTGATGTTTCGCAGCCCATGAGTCTAGGGCTGGTCTGTGAAATATCAATAGATACACTTTATTTAAAGTTTTATTAAATGCATTAGTCCACTTTCATGCTGCTAATAAAGACATACCTGAGACTGGGTAATTTAGATAGGAAAGAAGTGTAATTCAACTCACAATTCCTCATGGCTGGGAAGGCCGTAGGAAAGTTACAGTCATGGTGGAAGGCACCACCTTACAGGGTGGCAGGAGAGAGAATGAGTGTCCAGCAAGGGGGGAAGCCTCTTATAAAACCATCAGATCTCATGAGAACTAATTCACTATCACAAGACTAGGATGGAGGAAACCACCCCCACGATTCAATTATCTCCAACCTGGTCCCTCCCAGGACACATGGGGATTTTCAGAACTACAACTCAAGATGAAATTTGGGTGGAGACACAGCTGAAGCATGTCGTTTCACCCCTGCCCTCTCCCAAATCTCTTGTCTTCAAAATTCAAAATACAAGCATGCCCTTCCAACAGTTCCCCAAAGTCTTAACTAGTTCCAGCATTAACTCAAAAGTCCAAGTCCAAAGTCTCATTTGAGACAAGGCAAGTACCTTCTGCCTATGAGCCTGTAAAATCAAAAGCAAGTTAGTTACTTCCTAGATACAATGTGGGTACAGATACTGGGCAAATACACCCATTCCAAATGGGAGAACTGGCCCAAACCAAGGGGCTACAGACCTCATGCAAGTCCAAAATCAAATAGGGCAGTCATTAAACCTTAAAGCTCCAAAATAATCTCCTTTTACTCCATGCCTCACATCGAGGTCACACTGATGCAAGAGGTGGGCTCCCACGGCCTTGGACAGCTCTGCCCTTGTGGCTTTGCTGCATACAGCCCCCCTCCCAAATGCTTTCACGAGCTGACGAGTGTCTGCAGCTTTTCCAGGCGCACGGTGCCAGATGTCAGTGAATCTACCATTCTGGAGTCTGGAGGACAATGGCTGTCTTCTCACAGCTCTACTAGGCAGTTCCCCAGTGGGGACTCTGTTTGGGAGCTCCAACCCCACATTTTCTTTCTGCATTACCCTAGCAGAGTTTCTCCATAAGAGCTTTGCCCCTGCAGCAAACTTCTGCCTGGACATCCAGGCATTTCCATACATCTTCTGAAATCTAGGTGGTGGTTCCCAAACCACAATTCTTGTATTTTGCACACCCGCGGGACCAACACCATGTGGAAGCTGCCAAGGCTGGGAGCTTGCATCCTTTGAAGCAATGTCTTCAGCTGCTCCTTGGCCCCATTTATCCATGGCTGGGTAAAAGAGGAGGACTGAATGAACTGAATGAACTGATGAGTGTAAATTTCTTAATGACTTTTTATTTGAAAAAATCCTGGCTCCCTAATACTTTCCATATTTATGTAAACTTCTTTTGTTTCTTTTCTCTTATGGTATAATACACAGCCAAACCACATCATTAAAGTTTAAACTTTTCATGAGATACTCTGAAATTGGTTTATAGAAAGAGAAAGGAAGAGGAGCAAAGACTGGTTTCTGGCTACTGCAAAGTGTAAAATGGGAAGAATAGCCAACAATGAGATCAAAATTGATATTCTGGAGGAAGATCCAATGCAGTAGAATAAAAACTTGAGGAGTGTGATTTAATGAAAGACAAAACAGGGTAGGAAGGTAGACTCCAAGAAAGATACTCAAAACATAATTTCAAATAATGGTAAAAGTATGAACATTCAAGTTGGAGAAGGGCATAGAACATGATGGAATGGTGAGTGACTCTTATTAGGTTGGTGGAAAAGTAATTGTGGTTTTTGCCATTACTTTTAATAGATAAGCCTAATAGATAGGGTTTTCCTGGAAGACATATCTAAAGAAATGATTTCGGCAAATATCTTGATAATTTGAAAGAGAAAGTCATGTGAAGTTCTAGATAAAGAGTTCTCCAGGTCATGAAAAGTACGCATGAAAGCTGAAAAAGGTACACACTTAAATTGTTGCAGGAATACCAGCCTGTCCAATGTGGCCAGAGCTGAAGGAAATGTAGTCTAAGATGTGGACAAGGCCAGGTTAAGTGAGACTTTGTGTACTATGACAAGGAATTGGCATTTATGAATGGTGCTTTTCAAGGTTGGATGAAACAAGGAGTTAAGTAGTATAAGGAATCTTCCAAAAGTGTATAGAATTAAGAGAAATCCTTATGATATTTCCAACAGATTTGACCCTTAAGAATAATATTCAATTGCTTAACATTACCATGTTTACTTCAAATATAACTAGAAGATTTAAAAATAGACAGGTAGGTAGGTAGATAGGTAGATAGATATAAATAGGCAGATTTGAATTAATAGGAGGTATTTGAAAGGTTTTGAGAAAAATTGTATTTAAAAACAAAAAATCTTTATGGGGATAAAGACTGTAAAAAATTTAGAAGTTGGTTTTAGTAGTTCAGACTAGGTATGATGATAGCTTGTATTTGGTGGTAAAAACTGTCAATTTTGACTGGATTTTAGAGGTAAAACCCACAAAGAATAATGATAGATTAATTATGGAATTTGAAGGAATTGAAAGAGTTGGTGCTTGAGAAGAAAAATCACTTTACATTATATGATTTGTATCTGATATATTTACCAATATATTTTCAGTTTTCTGATACCCAAAACAGTAATTGCTTATAGAAAAAGAACAATACATGTCTTTTACATTTAAAAAAATTGCAAGAAAGGGTTGAAAATATTAGAATTCTGCTTGTTACGTTAGAATATTTAAAGGAAAAGAAATGAAGCATCAAAGTTCTTGAAGACAATTTTCCAACTTTTTACAAATTCTACTTAAAACAAAGTAAATAAACAAAAAGCTAACAAAACCAAAACTTGCCCATAGAGTCTAATCACTTCTTCATAGAATCTAATTCTTATATGTGATTGCATGCTAACAGTGATTATAAAATGAAAATAATGTCTACGATTGCTGAAAAGAATTAGAGCAAGCTAATCATGTAAAATATGTCTACAAAAAATATGTAAGAAAATATAAACTTGGGTGACATTTTCTGTGAGCTATCATATATAGATACATGTTTCATTTATACATTTCATATATTTATACGTAAATATATATTTCCATTTTTTAACTCTCTGAGGTGAATAGAGTAAAATTAAGACATTGTGTTTTAGTCTCAAAAATGTAAAGATCGAATCTGTTAGAAATACATGAAAGATTCCTCTTAATTTTATACACTTTTGGAAAATTACTCAAAGCTATTTAACTTATTTTATCCAATCTTGAAAAATGTCACTCATTAACGTAACATGTTTTACATTTAATCTATAAATTAGAACCTAAAAACAAATTATAATCTTTGATCTTGGGTTAGATAATTGGAATATTGTCCTGTAAATTTTCCAAGGGTCCTAAAATATGGAATTATAAAAAAGCATAAAAGATTAAAGGATCTGTTTTGTTAATAATATGGAGGCTGAAGATCTATGAAAACATTGAATGTCCTCCAATATTAAATATGGTATGAATATCCAGATAAATAACTGTGGCAAAATGTTTATAAAACACAAAACATTTGATGATTTTGATGAAAACACATAATCTCATGATAATAATTTTCAGAGTAGCTTATCTAACATAAACATAAATCTATGTTAGATATTCTCTCTCTATTTTTCTCTCTACTTCTCTTTTTTTCCAAATTGTTAGAGCTACCAATGTACTCCAGCACAATTTTAAGACCACTCCAGGAGGCATATCAATCATCTTCTTCCATGTACATTTGGTAAAGCTTAGAACATTTGTACTTCCTTACATGACAGCTAGATCCTCTTGTTTCTCCCCAGTTCTTCAAAGCTGCCAACCACATCTGAAAAAACTAACTCAGAAATAAATACTATACATTTAAGAAATAAATACTATGCATTTAAGAAATAAATACTATGCATTTGTTGTTATACCAACAAACCTAAGGCTGTGAAGTATTGGGCAAATTACTTGCTTTCTCTGAATGTTAGTTTCCCATCAGAAAAAAAGGGCTTTATTATTCCTGGCTCACAGACTCATTGTGGGATGGAATGAGACCACGGACCTGAGAACAACACTGCATAGTGGCCTAGAGCTCAGATGGGGAGTTTCCTGAATGGTCACTATGTTGCTATGTGATGCTCAGGCCCCAAACACATGGACTTATGGGGCCAATTGTGCTTCGGGTGATATTGCTGTCTTCCATTCTATCACAATATTTTGATCCACCTTGGGATAAATATATTCACCAGATGATTGACCCTCAAAGAAATCCACAGCTCTTTGGGGAAGAATCCTTTTGGTGTGTTAATAGTAACGGTTATTGGTATAACATGAGAAACAGGGGTTACCAAGGAAAAAACACATTTACTTGATGACTCAAGTCAAATTCAAATAGATTGTTTTGTCTTTTAGTCTATTTTGTTTTGTTTTATGGGCACACTGTTAAGTCCTTTAAATGAATCTGATATACTATTTAGTCTTTATTTACTAAGTGTGACATGATTTTTGAATAGGTAATTTGTATGAGAATATTGAAAAGTCTGATAACATTCTGGTTTAGAAATTTATAACTTTTTAATTTTTTACAAAACACAGAACTTTTGGAACTTGTGTGTTTGTCAAATAAGTAGAATGTAAGATGTGAAAACTGCATTTTGATATGGCCACAACAAAAATTCTTAACTGTATAAATTTCAGGATTGTCCTACATTGCTGGAAATTTTAAGTACAAGTAAGAATGACAGATTATAATTAAGTGTATTTGTCTGTGCCATCTGGAGGCCTTTTACAGACCATTAATTGGTAGGGCTATTACTATGCTCTCAGTTAATGGATTCTGTCAGATTCAAGCTCCAGATTTTTTTGTAGTTGAAGGGCTGTTTGTGGGTTTGAATTAAGTGCTTAGTTATTTCAATGATGTGTGTGACTATTACTAAATGCTACTTATTCATCTCTGTACGTCTTACTTTTTTAATGGATTGAAACTCAAAAATTTTACTGAGGCTTTTGCAATTTTGGATCAGCAGTAATGAAAATGTACTTATTGTGTGCATAATTGCACACAGTCTGTAGAATACTACTTACCCTTTATTTAGGGCTACCTTAGGTTAAGTGAAATGTCTTCTCAGCATAGCAGGTATTGGGGGGCAAAAACCCCACATCCCTTTAATTAAATATGTATGTCATTGTTGTAAATAAAAAAAAGTCTGGTGTTTTTTTCTATGGTTCCTGGATGGAAACTTATAAACCACTGGGATATTTCTGTTGCTAGGAACAAATCAAAGGTTGAGTAGTGTAGGGTAGGATTTAAACCACATTTGAATTTACGAAAAGGAGATAACTCAGGGTGTGGACTGGTCATATCAGAATAATCGACCATATAGGTAGAAATGTGGGACTTTTGAGCCACATGATATTAGCCTGACTTCCTGGCTTCTGGGAAGGAGAGAGCTGAAGATTGAGTTCAATCACATGGCTAACGATTTAACCAATCATGATTACATAATGAAACCTAAAAAAAAAAAAAAATCCAGAAACTGAAGCTGAGCTGAGCTCCCTGACTGGTGAACACATGAATGTGCCAGGTAGGTGATACATCTGAATTCCATGGGGAGAGGATATGGAAGGTCTGTGCTCAAGATCCTCCCAGACTTGCCCTATGTGTCTCTTCATTTGACTGGTTTTAATTTGTATTCTTCCAAATAAAACATTAGTCATAACTGCCCTGAGTTTTGTGAGTCATTCTAGCAAATTATTACAACTGAGAAGGTCATAGGTATCCCCAAATTTCTAATCAGTTCATCAGAAGTACAGGTGGAGATGGACTGGGACTCCCTAACACTGTGGCTGGCATCTCAAGTGAGATCAGTCTTACTGGGGGCTTGTGCTAACTTTTGGTGGTCAGTGTCAGAATTGCGTCACAATATTTCAGCCTTTCAACTTATTTCCACCTAGCATTCTCCATTTCACCCTAGAAGTGCTGCCTAAAAGCCTCTAAGAAGGCCAGATTTGAAACTGTGTAAAATTGTATTACTTGTCAGCCGAATAAACTGATTTTCCATGTTCTGATCATAGGTACGGTGACCTTCATTATATAAGTCAAACGTAGACAGTGTTAATGTTGTGAAGAGGCAAAATGGCTCAGTGAAAACAGAATGAAACTTGGGAGTTAGGAATTGAGTATTCTCAGAATAACTCTATTGCTAACAAGAACTGTGGTCTTAGAAATAATTGGCTAATCACTTAGAATCTGTTTATCTATCCAGAAAAATAAGGCAGTTGTACTAAATAATCTATAACATCCCTGGTACCCCTTAGGCTGCAAGATTTTTTTGAATTTCAATACCTGTTTCCTTGTCAGCAGAAGGGAGTCAATCTGACTGAATCTCATTCAACTATGATAAGAAATAACTGAACCATTTCTCCCTGTAGAAAAGAAGCAGACTCTATCCTTTCTGAATATGTTAGGATTCTCTTAAAATTTGGCAATGGAAAGTCTCAGTTTTTATGAAGCCTGCAGTCTAGTAGACTAAATAGTAAAAGTGTTAGCAAAAGACAAAGTAAATATGTTTTAAAAGTACCAAAGTTTTTTGTTTTTGTTTTGTTCTTTTTTTTTTAGTTAATGATTAGTGGCTCAAGGATATAAATAAAAAGAAGGGGATGGATGTTAACAGTGGTGGGGTCAGGTACAAATATGTTGATCCTTAATTTCATACACAGTACTTGAAATTCGAAAGACCTACCATATCACTGATACATCAAAATAAACTTCATGATGTTTGCCAGCAGTGTCTATTGTGAGTTTCCTCCCACACCTGGTGTTTCACTTATTTTGGGCACTGTACTTTGCCCATCAGCACTGGAATAAGGGTTGGGAGAGTCAGCATTCAGTCCAATCCTTCCTTCACCCACCTAACTTACATGGACAAACAATTAGACTGTCAAAAGAATGCATTACTCATGAAATGAGGGATTTAGACTAGTCATGGTTCTTAACATGGGTCCATAGACTCTAAAATTTGTGAAAACTACGAACTTAGATTAAGAAAAATTATATATTTATTTTCAAAAACCTCTAACTGAAATTCAGCTTTTCAATTATGAATAACTTTAATAGTAACAGCATTTCCTATGAATACTTCACCAATAGAAGTCACAGATATCTTGTATTACATTAGTGTTGTTATAGATATCTCAAATTATTATTTAGTCCTATAATTATAGAAAAATTATGGCAATTATTAGTTCTTCCTATTAAAGGCCTTAATAAAGAATATACCCAAAGGACTATAAATCATGCTGCTATAAAGACACATGCACACGTATGTTTATTGCGGCATTATTCACAATAGCAAAGACTTGGAACCACCCCAAATGTCCAAAAATGATAGACGGGATTAAGAAAATGTGGCACATATACACCATGGAATACTATGCAGCCATAAAAAATGATGAGTTCATGTCCTTTGTAGGGACATGGATGAAATTGGAAATCATCATTCTCAGTAAACTATCGCAAGAACAAAAAACCAAACACCGCATATTCTCACTCATAGGTGGGAATTGAACAATGAGATCACATGGACACAGGAAGGGGAACATCACACTCTGGGGACTGTTGTGGGGTGGGGGGAGGGGGGAGGGATAGCATCGGGAGATATACCTAATGCTAGATGATGAGTTAGTGGGTGCAACGCACCAGCATAGCACATGTATACATATGTAACTAACCTGCACAATGTGCACATGTACCCTAAAACTTAAAGTATAATAATAAAAAAAAAGAAAAAGTAAGCCTACTAGTTTTAATAGAAAGCACTTTTCCCTCAGCATCCATCAGTGAAGCAAAATATAATTTACAAAGAGAGAAACAGAGACAGAAATTGTCCCTGTAGTTGAATTCTCTAGGGATATAACATCAACATTAATATGGAATGGCAATCTTAGTTAAAACATTTTTAAAATAAGTGACATATCTGCTTACTGCTTGAATGTATGTGTTCAATTTTGTTTTGTTTTGTTTTCTATTTCTCATCGCACTCTGGCTTTTTGAGGGAAATTACTCATATCAGTGCAGAAGCGAAAGTATTAATACAAGTCAGGAGGCTCATCACACATTAAGGCACATGTAATCCTAAGCACCGTGAGAAAGGAGCAACAAGTCTGGAATTTGGAGTAAAGCAGGGCCATATGTAAGTCCAAGCTGCAACACATACCAGCCATGTCATCTTAAACAACTTAAACTTTTCTTAGTTTCAATTTTCTCTTTTAAAAATTCCTACTTTAAGGACTATAAAATATTTAGTGTTTAGCACAGTGATGAGAACATAATACATGATTGATAAGTGGTAACCATTTTCAACGTGATTATGAGATCCTGTTTTTCTTTGTTGGCTTCAATTTCTTCTTTTTTTTTCAAATGAGCCACTTGGACTAGGTAATTACTAAGGATAATCTCATTTTTAACATTCTGAATCTTAATTTTTTAAATTTAATTTTGACATTCTGTCACCACCTCACTCCATCAGTATAATTTACAGAGTCACATTATGCAATTATTTCATAAAATAATTCTCTATTATTTCATGCTATTATGAAATGAGTCTCTATTATTTCATGAAAAGCAAATAATTAACTGAAACTATTTATATTGCCTCTGATATTTCACAATAACTCTGATAGAATAGTATAATAGCTTTTTGGAGTTTCTCCGACCTGTCATCTTTCGGACATATTGCCACATCTTTCAGAGGCATTTAAAACCATAGGTGTATTATCTGATGGTAGAACAATGTTATTTTTAAATAAGTTATCTTAACCTTTGCAGTTTGCCAAAGATTTGTTTAGGAACCCCTATGGAAACAGGAAATTTCCTTATAAGCATATGACTGGCACAACACTTAAATAGACATTCTAACTTAAGTACTCACTTTCAGTAGGTGTACAACATTGTGTTAAATAAAATGTTTGTGAAAATTGAGTAGGACCTAATGATAGGTTTTACAAATAAATACAAATACAAAATTTAGTTAGATAGCATTTACATTTTTGCATTTCAAAAATTAATGATTTACACTTTTCAATTTATATTCAAAATGTTCAAGGGTATAGGTCCCATATAAATAATTAGAACTACAGTCTATGTTGCAGATACTGAACTTTGGATTTTTCATTCGTAATGCGAAGACAGTCATGTAAATTGGATGACTGAAGAACAAGAATGAAGTTTCTAATTAATAGCCAGTTTAAGTACACATTGCAAAGCTTTGGGGTCTGAGTTACTTGTTTTTGGTACTTTCCTTAAAATCTTTGCTCCTAACATAATTACTATGAAGCAAAAACAAAAATCCTTGTCTTTAAAATGGTTGAGGAGGGAAAAAATGGGACAAAAATCATTTATGTAAACAGTTAATTTTGGACTAGTGAGAGAAAAAACCCTACAACGAAAATTGCCTATTTGCTAATGAAAATTGTTAAATAAATATGTTACTTTTTAGAAAAAGTCAAAAGGGTGACTAAGTACTCAAACTCTACATTTTTTTGTGTGTAGCGGTTTACAAGACTATCATCATCCTTTCACTATACATTTGATTTTTATGGGCCTCAAATCTTCTTTGTATTGAATTTCTGTTGCATTGTAATCACAACAGAAGATTTATTACAGTACAACTCTTTTGCTAAGTGGAGGACTGAGCCTGCAAACTGACTTTTGATAGCACATTTATGGAATGGCAAACTATTAGACAGACAAATTTTTTTTGGTGGTAGTTGCTAAAACCCACAACAGAGAAATTTCCTTTACCAGTAAGAATTTAACGACCAATAAAAGCTGTATGGGGAAGGAGAATCAATATAACAATATGAGAAATTTCAGGAAAATGCTGCATATTTTGACCTATCACAAAATGCTATTATTTCAAATAAAAAATGAAAATATATATAAGATTAGATTTATTTTTTAGGTTATGAGAAAAAAATCTTAGAAATGGGCCATATGTAACTTCACTTATAACTTACTGAGTATGTATTATAGTGTCATAAATTCAAAAACAAGGTGTAACTGATTCCAATTGACCTCGATGTAGGTCTATTTCCTAGATGGATGGTTGAACAATTTCTCAATTGACATAGTGTAGAGCTTTCTTTTCCTTTATTTATTTATTTATTTATTTATTTATTTATTTATTTATTTATTTATTTTGCATGGATTATCTAAGGTAACTGATTAGATTTCCACTGCATATTTTCACAGTGTAGAAACAGACTATGAATCTTCCCAGAAGGCAGGTCAAATTCAATTACATTTTTCATACTGGATGTTTCAGTCTCTGATTTCTCAGGTACCAACAATTCATACCAAATGTCCATATCTGGCCCTAACTTTCATCTGGCCCTGATGTTATTAGAAAGCCTTCTAATGGAGTAATAAGCAATTTGAGTGGGTGAATCAAGGACAAAAACATTTTTCCAATATTCTCTGGTCAAAGATGTTGGGAGGGTTAATCTTGATTCTGCAGCTGTTCCTCCAATACATCTTAAAAGTTCTTTCCAAGCAGTATCTTTATTTTAAATATTTTGATTATGCTACATATTCATTAAAATGTGGCTGATGTTAAACTTGCTGATCTGGGCACAATGAGTCAAAAGTCATGTAAGCCTTAAATTATAAAACATAGGAAACAGGCAAGACAAAATTAATAGGCATGTAATTTCAAGTAAAATAATTTCTTTATGTAGATATAAATCAAGAAAAAATAGCATATAATTTTTTTTATCCAAAAGCAGACCACCACTGAAACACAACGAGTTATCTTGGGTGGCACTATCCAAACCACAAATATGGTTATTTTATATGAATCAATAAATAGCTACATTATGATGTTTAATCTAGCTCATAACATTCATCATTAACTAAAATATAATAGTTTGTCCTTTTTATTTTGTTGCTTGTATTCCCGGCTCTTATTCCATTAATGTAAGCTTTCTGATTGAAGGCTTTGTCTGCTATGTTTGTCACTACCTACTTCACTGTAAAAGCTCAATTAATATTGGTGACCAACAGATACTGAGTTCCTATTTACCCTATCTCTAACGGGACTCCAGTGATTCTAATTTTTATGTATGTAGAACTTCACAAAAACTTCTGATACATTATCTTTTTAAACCTCCAACATCGCTAGAGAGCTTAAGATATGCATTCTTTCTTTTGTCATTTAACGGTTGAGAATATAGAGGTATACAAAGTCAAAAGATCTAGAAATTGAGTTGAATCTATGTTATCGCACTAAACAGCTTGTGTTCGCTCACATGTGATATGATTTTAGGAGGCTTCGCCTTTAATGAAAGTGAAGGTGTTTTAGTGTTCTCGTTTTAGTTTCTATTTTATAATGGTCAAAGACTGAATGCATTACACAGGACAAATCAGTCCATTAGTGACAACAAAAGGAATTGAAAATACAACCTAATAACTAAGTAATTGGATTGGTAAATAATGCAGTATGTGATAATCTCTCTCCCAAAATAAAATGTTAAATTCTTCTGGAAAGTTCTATCAACATTATTTGAAAGAGTAACTTTGAACTAACACCAAGATATATTGGAGTAATAACCATCATTTACCTCTATAGTATTTTTACATGACTAAGCCATTGTTCAGAACTCAAATAATTGAATTTGACTGCTAAATTTTTTGTTGCAAAAATCTAATAACTGGAAGCAAATGTAAAGTAAATGTTTATTCAGATCTATGGAGAACTCTTTTTAACTCCAATATTTAATAGAGTGTCAAAGCAAATTGTGACTACAAGTTGCAAATTTTATTTTCTATATGCTATTTCAAGCGTGTTTTGTTTTTTCAGCAGACCAGCATAGATGGGAGTGGGGTAGCAGAATCTGAAAATAGAAAAGCAAATTAATTCAACTGTGGATTTTGTGTGAGATATGATGATCTGGTTACAAAGTTTTTAACTAATGTCATAGGTTTGCTATTTCTTATGCCCAAAGCGATAATCTACTCTGTGACACTGGTTTGTGAGAGATTTGATAATACAAAATTTCTCTATTGTATATATAGTGTCACAGTGGTTGCAGAGTTAAATAATAAGCTTATAAACAGCAATATTTGTTTTATTTCCACCCAGAATTCATATAGTAGGATTCTTTACTATGAAAAACGTTTATTAATAAGAACAATTTATACTAAAATATACTTATAATACTAAATTAAGGTGGATTAGCATGCTTTAAATATAGTACAGACTCCAATATGATATATATGTTATGTTAACTTTTTGAGGGGAATATTTGAGGGGCATATAAACAGAAAAATTTTAAAACTGAAATCATACTTTTGGAATGAAAATTCAGGGCTTAGATAAAATAAAGCCTTAGTAATGCAAGACTAAAATGGCTCTTACTCTTATGGAGTCTATTTGTGCTCATATTAAGTTTTTACTCAGTTTTGTAACTTTCATTTTTCTATTTCAGAATTTAACCACTTCCTTTTTTTTTTTTTTTGAGACAGTTTCACTCTGTCATCCAGGCTGGAGTGCAGTGGCGTGATCTCGGCTCACTGCAACCTCTGCCTCCTGGGTTCAAGCGATTCTCCTGCCTCAGCCTCCTGAGTAGCTGGGATTACAGGCGCCTGCCACCACGCCCGGCTAATTTTTGTATTTTTAGTAGAGACGGGGGTTTCACCATGTTGGTCAGGCGGGTATCAAACTCCTGACCTTGTGATCCTCCTACCTCGGCCTCCCAAAGTGCTGGGATTACAGGCGTGAGCCACCTCACCAGGCCTGACCACTTTCCATTTCATGTCTTATTATTTATCCCAAAACACCAAGAAGGGATAATTTTGTAAGAAAACTGTGTAGTTGTCTAAGCGTTGAAACTGATGCCTGTTGTTAAAATTTATCTGATCTTTTATACAAATTGATCTTTACAAACCTTTTAATGGTTCATTTTAGTTTATTTTTTTTCTAGTATTTTGAGGGAAAATGGATATTAAAAAATAATTTAGTTTAACTCTCTGTTAAGAAAATTATTACTGATGATAGGTCTTTTGTGCAAAGAAAATCTGTTCTTAAAAAAATCTAATACTTCAAAAGATTCTTATTCACCTTTTAAAATCTGATTACTTTTTCCTTCATTTCACTGAAAAATACGAGCATTTTAATGGAGGTTATGGGTAGAAAAGAGAAGGAAGGAATAGTCCTTTCAGAAAATAAAGAACATCAAGGGACAATATACCTAGAGTTGGAAATGAAGCTAAAGGTCTGTTTGAGAAAAGGCATGACAAATTATTGAATAGGGTATCAGAGAAGGAAGAGGCAGAGAAAAACTTTACATTTATCAAAAATTTTGCTGAGAACTTGTTCTGTGCAATGTTCTCATTTTAGGACTCAACCTAATTCAAACTATTTAAAGATGAGAAGTAAACTTAAGAAACAAAAGGATATTTTTTCTACACACTAATAAACAACAGTCAAGTAGGTTACCCTAAGTATTTTAGACATAGTCGACGTGATTTTATCAGTAATGATAACAGTGTGTGTGAAATGAGGAAATTAAATATACACAGTCTAATTCCTCCCGACCTCATAAAATGTTCCAATACTTTAAATAGACTTTAACAGTGTTTCCACAGAAAAGGAATCTATTGCTGCCAGTGGGCTTAAATAGTGTAAAATGCTATTTATAAAATATTCACCAGCTGTAGGTAAAAAACAATTTTTCTCCAAATTGAGAAAATAGAGGCTTAATATTTTTGAACCAGTTATTTCCATTTTGTTGTATTTTTGAAAGTGAATTTCAGCAGTTTTGGGGGACTGGTAAAATGCTGTCATGTTCATTTTCTCACTTCAGTGTTGTGCTTTAAGGCTTATCTTCCTAAGTAGATTTTAACCCTTTACCCTGTTTTTCAATTAGTCAGATATCCTACACTTTAAGGGTAAGTTTTGTTACATCTGCCAGTGAAAATACAAAAAGTCGAATGATATTGCTTGAATTCTAACTAATAAACTCTATCTGAAAGACCTGAGTATGGGTCTAGCAGTAACAATCGATAGCTCAAAGCCCAACCCTAACCACACAATCATGATCATCTTTTTGCAGGTATGTTAGAAAAGTGGTAATTCAATAATGCTGATTTTCATTTAAACCACTGAGCCTCTTATAGGTTCAAGTAAAAGCTTTTGTGAAACTAATATGATATCCATTCAAGGGCTAGATAGTATAGCTGAACACTCTGCCAGGTAAATTGTAGTTTGTTCACCTACGATAAAAGTAACAGCTTTGTGTTCCACAGATTTCCGGTGCCTAAGTTTGGTAGTTTGGTCTTCTGTAACATTTTTTTTTTCCTTTGAGATGGAGTTTGCTATGTCACCCAGGCTGGGGTACCATGGCACAATCTCGGCTCACTGCAACTTTTGCCCCCCGGGTTCGAGCAATTCTCTGGTCTCAGCCTCCCAAGTAGCTGGGACTACAGGTGCACACCACCACGCCCAACTAATTTTTGTATTTTTAGTATAGATGGGGTTTCATGATATTGGTCAGGCTGGTCTCAAACTCTTGACCTCAGGTGATCCACCCGCCTCGGCCTCCCAAAGTGCTGGGATTACAGGCATGAGCCACTGTGCCCAGCCCGTAACACTTTTTGAAGAATGAAGATTCATTAACAAAGATAGCGTTTGTACAGACAAATATTCAAAAGAATACAGAAAATACCTGTAGAGCTTTCTGATTTTCCACTGTGGGGCCTAAATTGCTCATAAACATTATTCATTGCAAATACACAAAATAGAAAAAAATCAACTGAAGTTATTTCTCTGAATTTTCATTTTGAGTTTTGTCATTATTGAGTTTTCACAGAAATATATGACAAAATACAGCCATATGTGTTAGTGTTTAATGTATTCAACATGATGATTGTGTAAGAAAGAATGTATAACTTTGTTTTTAAGAAGAAATTACACCAAGTAGACTCCACATAGTTCAGTCAAATTCAATAATTCTGAGGAAGGTCCTTTGGACCCTGTATAATAAAATGTTCATGCATTTATTAAACACTTAATTCACACACTTCTATACCTATTAGTCTGGCCAGCTGTGTAAGTGTTTATCCTCTTGTACTAAATTCCTGAGAGAACAAGTGTGTTCTTGTTGACATCCCTTAAACTCCTGCTGTCCCATAGCGGTTCAAAGCAATGAAGCAAGAAATTGAGTTGACAAGGTGGAGAGGACTCTTGATAGTATCAGCAGCAAACTATTTTGTGCTAATCATCAGACATGGCCTTGGAGAATTCTGGGTCCTAACTACGTCTCTTTTGATGGCTCTGTTAACCTGCAGGAGTTGGCCAATCAGATTGTGTCTGCAAGAATCTACAATTATAAATTAAAAAGCAAAATAAAAAAGTTGGACATTTAATTCTATGTTGTGAGAGGTGACAATGTGCTAGCAGCCCTCTCTCACTCTCGGGGCCTCCTCGGCCTCGGCGTCCGCTCTGACGCCGCTCCAGGAGCCCTTCAGCCCGCCGCTGCGCTGTGGGGGCCCCTCTCTGAGGCTGGCCCGAGGCCAGAGCCTGCTCCCTCTACTCGCCCGGAGGTGTGGAGGGAGAGGCGCAGGCGGGAGCCGGGGCTGTGCTCAGCGCTCTGGGGCTGGTGCAGGTTCCAGGTGGGCACGGGCTCAGCAGGTCTGCACTCTGCCCGCCCACACTCCGTGCCTGCTGGGCTTCATCTTCCCACCTGCTGGGCTTGATCAGGGGAGGAGCTCCCTCTGGGCTGCCAAGTGCCCGGGCTAGGTGACACAAAGTCCGGCAGCCAAGTGCCATTGAGAGCTGCTTCTGGGTTGGGTGGGGACTTGGAAAACTTTTGTGTCTAGCTAAAGGATTGTAAACGCACCAATCAGCACTCTGTGTCTAGCTAGAGGTTTGTAAACGTGCCAATCAGCACTCTGTGTCTAACTAAAGGTTTGTAAATGCACCAATCAGTGCTCTGTGTCTAGCTAATCCGGTGGGGACTTGGAGAACTTTTGTGTCTAGCTGAAGGATTGTAAGCTGAAGGATTGTAAAGGCACCAAACAGCACTCTCTGTCTAGCTAAAGGTTTGTAAATACACCAATCAGCACTGTGTGTCTAGCTCGAAGTTTGTAAATGCACCAATCAGCACTCTGTGTCTAGCTCAAGGTTTGTAAATGCACCAATCAGTGCTCTGTGTCTAGGTAATCTAGTAGGGACTTGGAGAACTTTTGTATCTAGCTCAAGGTTCATAAATGCACCAATCAGCACCCTGTCAAAATGGACCAATCAGTAGGATGTGGGTGGGGCCAGATAAGGGAATAAAAGCAGGCCACCTGAGCAAGCAGCAGCAACAGGTTTGGGACCCCTTCCATGCTGTGGAAGCTTCGTTCTTTCGCTCTTCGCAATAAATCTTGCTACTGCTCCCTCTTTGGGTTTGCGCCGCCTTTAAGAGCTGTAACACTGTAAAGGTCTGCAGCTTCACTCCTGAAGCCAGCGAGACTACAAACCCACCAGCAGAAATGAACAATTCTAGATGGGGGGAACGAACAATGCTGGACGCATCACCTTTATGAACTTCAACACCACGAAGGTCTGCAGCTTCACTCCTGAAGTCAGCAAGACCACGAACCCATTGGAAAGAAGAAACTGGACACATCTGAACATCTGAAGGAACAAACTCTGGACACATTGTCTTTAAGAACTGTAACACTAACCGTGAGAGTCTGCGGCTTCATTCTTGAAGTCAGGGAGACCAAGAACCCACCAATTCCAGACACAAAAGTACTGTATAACAAACATTCTGACTTTCTTTTCCAATAAACCAATTGGGTGGAAGTAAACATAGATGTGCTCAGAGATCAAGTGTTATCTTGAAAAAATAACATCCTATAATAGAAAACCAAATACATGAATAGTAAGGAGCCTCCTATATAAACACGTAAGGATGCATGTACAGGATTACAATGCCAAAGGACTTACTTATATTTATTTATCTTTATGCAATAATTCTATTTTTTTAAAATAACTATGTTATAAATTATCTGGTAGATTCTACAAGATACTGAGAGGTGACAGTGTGCTGGCAGCCCTCGCAGCCCTCGCTCGCTCTTGGCGCCTCCTCGGCCTTGGTGCCTACTCTGGCCATGCCTGAGGAGCCCTTCAGCCCACCGCTGCACTGTGAGAGCCCCTTTCTGGGCTGGCCAAGGTGGGAGCCGGCTCCCTCAGCTTGTGGGGAGATGTGGAGGGAGAGGCATGGGCAGGAACTGGGGCTGTGCGCAGCGCTTGTGGGCCAGCGCGAGCATGGGCTCGGTGGGCCCCACACTTGGAGCGGCCGGCCAGCCCTGGGCAGTGAGGGGCTTAGCAGCTGGGCCAGCAGCTGCTGCGCTCAATTTCTCGCTGGGCCTTAGCTGCCCGTGGGGCAGGGCTTGGGACCTGCAGCCCGCCATGCCTGACCCTCCCCCGACCCGCTGTGGGCTCCTGCGTGGCCCGAGCCTCCCTGCTCCACGGCACCCAGTCCCATCGACCGTCCAAGGGCTGAGGAGTGCGGGCCCATGGTGCGAGACTGGCAGGCAGCTCCACCTGCAGCCCTGGTGCGGGATCCACTGGGTGAAGCCAGCTGGGCTCCTGAGTCTGGTGGGGACTTGGAGAATCTTTATGTCTAGCTAAGGGATTGTAAATACACCAATCTGTACTCCGTAACTAGCTCAAAGTTTGTAAGTGCACCAATCAGCACCCTGTGTCTAGCTCAAGGTTTGTAAATGCACCAGTCAGTGGTCTGTGTCTAGCTAATCTAGTGGGGACTTGGAGAACTTTTGTATCTAGCTCACGGATTGTAAACGCACCAATCGGCACCCTGTCAAAATGGACCAATCAGCCGTCTGTAACATGGACCAATCAGCAGGATGTTGGTGGGGCCAGATAAGGGAATAAAATCAGGCTGCCTGAGTGAGCAGTGGCAACCCGCTCGGGTCCCCTTCCACCCTGTGGAAGCTTTGTTCTTTTGCTCTTTGCAATAAATCTTCCTGCTGCTCACTCTTTGGGTCCACACTGCCTTTATGAGCTGTAACACTCACCACGAAGGTCTGCAGCTTCTCTCCTGAGGCCTGCAAGACCACAAACCCACCGGGAGGAACGAACAACTCCAGATGCGCTGACTTAAGAGCTGTAACACTCACTGCGAAGGTCTGCAGCTTCACTACTGAAGCCAGCGAGACCACGAATCCACCAGAAGGAAGAAACTCCAAACACATCCGAACATCAGAAGGAACAAACTCCGGACACGCCCTCTTTAAGAACTGTAACACTCACTGCGAGGGTCCGTGGCTTCATTTTTGGAGTCAGTGAGACCAAGAACCCACCAATTCCGGACACAATACAATGAAGGGTAAAAAAAGATTCCTGACCACATGGAGATTACAATCTAAGAAAGTAGTAAGACGTGAGGCTAAAAGCAATTAATGCTAAATACACAGCTGAAAACAACGAAGGCAAAGGTCTGATTTGTGGAGTCAGTAAAGAGAATCAATACGATCTCTTTGATTTAAAACAAGAAGGCCTATAACTTTAAAATTGTCTGTCCCTATGTGAGAGGTACATAAAGGGGCATCTGTTTCTTAGCAGTTTTAATTTAAAAAAATTAAGCATATTTGTATCTGGAAACAGGTTGTCTATTTTTTTAAAGTAAAAGCATCATTAAATGCAAGTGGGAACTGTATTTCAATGCTTAAGTCTCTTCTGATGTCATATTTTCAAAGTGGACTTTTTTTTTTTTTTGAGACGGAGTCTCGCTCTGTAGCCCAGCCTGGAGTCCAGTGGCGTGATCTTGGCTCACTGCAAGCTCGGCCTCCCGGGTGCACGCCATTTTCCTGCTTCAGCCTCCGGAGTAGCTGGGACTACAGGCGCCCGTCACCACGCCCTGCTAATTTTTTTGTATTTTTAGTAGAGACGGGGTTTCACCATGTTAGCCAGAATGGTCTCAATCTCCTGACCTAATGATCTGCCCGCCTCGGCCTCCCAAAGTGCTGGGATGACAGGCATGAGCCACCGTGCCCGGCTGAAAGTGGACTCTTTTTAAAGAATAATTTACACTTAGAGTTTAGACAGATGCTTTTTACAATGGTTATCTTTCTGGATGCATCTGTTCAGTGTGTTTTTCCCAGTTCCAGCAAAAAGGTGATATTTTGGGCTGTGATTCTGTCATATAATCACACGGAAACCTGTTAATTCTTATTAACACCTTGACATTTTATTGCTGTAAATTTATCATAAGTTCTTCTGATATAAGATAGATTTAAATGCATAGAGTTGGGCTTTTTGTGTGTGTGTGTCCATTAAACTCTTGATCCTTTGCTCCTTACATCAGCAAAACTTTCAGTAAAGTAAATCAGCTGTTAGCCAGAATACAAATTATAGACTAGGACCTGAAAGGTTAACAGCTTGCTATTTGGAATACAATTGAAAAGCTAGAGAAAACAGAATAGAGGTGTGTTAAAATCTTTCGTATTAACTTCTACACCAGGTAACTCTGACATGTAAAGCTCCTTGTGTTTAGACATTACCCAGCAGAGGTGCAATGGTTTCTTATTACCACAATATAGTTCTTCTGTTAATAGAAGGTGTTAACCTTTCAATTGCTACAAAATTAAAGGTTTAGCCTGGAAACCTGTATCTAGACACAAAGAAAAACCATTATCTAAGGCTGTAATGAGACTCATCAAAAACCGGAAAGTTTCCAGAGATTATGCTCAGGTGCATCAGGATATAATATATGGAAAATGTCACCGTGATATTTTGTCTGTGTTGCAAAGAATTAAAGAACTATGAACCTAATTCTGATCCAGTATGTAATAAGAATATTGAATGCACATCAATGAATGTATAACAAGAGGCAGCCTAACTAAAGGGTTGTTAAAATTCCATCTAAAAAGAATCACAATTTCTCAACCATTTATACTGTTAATTTAAATAATTCAAAAAATATATATTAAAAATACAATGTAGGACACTTACATTTATTATTATGCATTTATGTCCAAGAATAAATTTAAATTCAAGACAAAATTATTAAAGACTGCTTATTTCAAAAGTATGGCAAGGGAACTCATCTGTTGCATGAGTTCACAGATATTAGAAAATAGTACATTTTATAGAGTACTAAAAAGAAATACTGATACATCCCATGAACAAAGCAATTGTTCTTTGAAGATGAGGTTTTTGGAAGGGAGTTTGGAGGTGAAACTGACCCAATGGATCCATAGACAGGTTTTTTTGTTTGTTTTTTGTTTTTTTGAAACTAAATATAGAAATTGACCTTTCTGGTCTTAAAGCTTGACATTTACATTTGTTTTATCTCAGTTCCCTCCAAAGGAAAGAACCCCAGGTCTCTCAAAAAGTCTCAAAGAACTGAAATTCACATGATGATGGTATCCAGACACTGAGACTCAAGGTCCCTCATTCATCATGATTGCTTTCTTGCCACTCCTGAGTTTTCATTTTCTCACACATGGTTATATTTCTTCCCTGCTAAATAAACCCCCAATTTTAGTTGGTCAGGGAGTTGGATTTGAGACTGATCTCCCATCTCCTTGGCTGTGGCACCCAATCACAGCCTTCTTCCTTGGCAATAATCCTTGTCTCAGTGATTGGTTTTCTTTGAGGTGAGCAGCAGGACCTAGACCAAATCCCTTATGTCTTGGTAACAGAGAGATTTCAAACTAGTTTTCAGGTATATTTGGCAGTCCTTGGTTGGCTACAGGGGACAAGTTTGGAGACATTTCCAAAAGAAAGAATTCTTTATTGTTGAGGTTGGGAAAAGGGCTTTCTGGGGCCAGCCATATCTTGATTCAAGTCAGAATCAATGGGGTGCTTTTTGGAGGTCAAACTCTCATAATGGTTTCCATAGACGGAGAGAGGGAGACTATTACACCAGAGAGTTTTTAATTTGTTAAAGTGAGTTTGCATTTATTGACCATGAAGTGACCTATTTGAAGGTGGAAATTGATGATGACATCTCCCTAAATCTGTTGATGGCAAGGAAAGCCATCCTGCCATGAAGTCTGACATACAGAATCCTCTTAAAGTATACCCCCAAGAGATGTTATAAATATTGTGGCTATTGGAAGACAAAAAAACCCCATAATTTAAAAATGCTTAACTCTATAACTATTTTATTGGTATGAACTGAAAATAGAAAATACATTTCGTTGTCATGTAATCACAAATTCTATTTCTCTTCATCATTAACACAAGAAATGATCACCATTTGACTCACCACAGAAAGCATGAAATAGAACTATCTTGTTTTTTATGAACTACTCTCTCAAGCTTGCACATCCTCCTCCTTTTTCTTAATAAATATAGATTATTTTTCTTAGTCAAAAAATTAATCAATGAATCAGCAAATAGGTAATGGCAAGGTACTTTGCTAGGTGAAGTGAAGAATGGGAGTGTTCCCTGCAGTCTAGTTATTTACAACCTACAAGAAGACACTACACACATGCACCAAAAAATAAGAAACATTAAAAGGCAAGATAAAGTTTAAGTGTGTCCTGAGTTTTACGGCAAGTATAGATGAATTGATAGACAATGGGAACCCTAAAGCATGACTAAGGCATATTACATATTACAGAGTTCAAGGTGGTTTGAAGGACCTGCATGACATGGCATATGAAGAGTCACAACATTCTATATGGAATGCCCTCAGTAAGATTCCACTAGCAGATTGATGTCTCAATAAAAATGTAAATAATTAAATGAATTGCTCCTTGGATGAATGGTGGAATTCAAAGACAAAAGAGCAGAATGACAAGGCAACGTTAAAAATACAATATTTTTGTTTGGAACAGATTAGAGCAGTCTAGTTTTTGTTGCATCTTTGTGTAAACACTAGTGAGGTTAAAAAAAATTGATTGGGGCAATATTGCAGTTGCTAAATAGATGGGACTTTAACCAGGAATTAAGGGTTCTTTATGAGATGATTTCATACCTCAGTCTCTGGCTTTCTTCTCATAGTCCTACTCTCTTCTCATTATCTCTTTCATAACCGAAAATGTAATTATTAATTATCCTATATGCTCACAGTCTGTTGCGTATATATCCCTGGCTGGTAGCATTCTCTTAATATTTAGAGATGTATAGAAAAGTACATATTAGGTGGGTCCACCTCAATGTCCTATAAATATTTCAAACCCAACATATTTAAAGTAAACATGTTGTATTTCTACTGTAAATTTACTTCTTTATTTTCTGTTTCAGTAAATGATCCCACCTAACATTTGTTCTTGATATCTGCTTCATTCTTACTCTCCAATCTGATGCATTACCAAGTTGCAACAATTCTATCTCTCATATATGTTTCGAATTCATTCATTTTTTCAACCCTCTGTCACAAATTTAGATAAAACACCATTCATCTCTTGTGTTGTTGACTCCAGTAGCCTCTCAGCCTCAAAATTGGTTCCTCTGCCTTCAGTCTTGCTCCTTTTCCAGTCCTTCTCCATGCAATAACTAGGATGATCCTTAAACATGCATATTTCATCACATATGCATCAATTAATTTCATAAATATTAAATACCTCATGTAAGATTTTCATAAATTAGTGAATAAAGCTGAACCTGACTATATAGAATTCACCCTAAATATAACGAATATGGACTTCATCATTGCACTTTAAACTCCCCTTTCTTCACAGTTGTTCAGTTTTTCTTACTGTAATTCCTTTTCTCTCAGATCTGGTTGTTAAATATCCACATTTTCCATCAGAGTTTTAAATAATATTAACAACATTTTAAAAAATCACAATAAGAGTATTGCCTTAAATCGTATATGCTCATTTACAATTCCCAAATGTTTCCTCAAAAATAGAACTTTCTAAATTAGTCAGGGAAGACATCATGATTAATACTTATAAATAATATCACATCTCAGAGAAATTAAGTTGTCTGTACAAGGTCACATAGCCATTAAATGGCCACCTCTCCTGTTTCCAGACTTCACTATGAAGTCTCTCTCCGGAACTCTTTTATCTCAAAGCTCATGATATTTGATTTCTAAATATTTTGGCAGATGATAACAACAATCTCTTACATATACAGTGCTTCTATATTTATAAAACCATGTTCCCATGCTAAACTCATTTCTCTTTTTAAATAAACATTCTATATTAAAAATTTTCAATTTACAGAAAAATTACAAGACTTTACTGCGTTCACATAAACATACATCAATTTATTATTAATATATGTTAATGTAGTATATTTTTTCATAAGTAGTGAACCAATATTGATGTAGTATTATTAACTAAAGCCATACTTTATTCAGATTTTCTTACTTTTTAGAAAACCAGTTTCTTTCTTTCTTTTTTTTTTTTCTTTTTTGAGACAGAGTCTTGCTCTTTTGCCCAGTCTGGAGTGCAGTGGCGTAGTCTTGGCTCACTGCAACTTCCGCCTCCTGGGTTCAAGCAACTCTCTGCCTCAGCCTCCCAAGTAGCTGGGATTACAGGTGTGCCCTACCACACTCGGCTAATTTTTTCTATTTTTAGTACAGACCGGCTTTCACCATGTTGGCCAGACTGGTCTTGAACTCCTGACCTCATGATCCACATGCCTTGGCCTCCCAAAGCTCTGGGATTACAGGCGTGAGCCACTGCGCCAGGCCAGAAAACCAGTTTCTCATATTTTAATCTAATATTCTTTGCTTCCATGAACCCATCTAGAATATCACATGACATTTAGTTATGTTCCCTTGGGATTCTTTTGACAGTAATAGTTTCTCAAACTTATTCTGGATAACCTAGATGGTGGTAAACAATACCAATTTTTTTTTTTTTTTGTAGAATATACTTCAGTTGGAATTATCTGTTGTTTTCCTCATGATTACTCTTAAATTACAATTTTTTTTAAAAGAAGACCGTAAAGGTAAAATGTCGTTCTCATCACATCACAGCAGGAGTACATATTATCCAAATGACTTATCATTGTTGGTGATAATCTATATCACTTGGCTAAGTTTTTGTATCATAAAATAGTCGTAAGATTACTATTTTTCCTCTTTCCATATTCTGGATGAAAATAACTACGTGGCTGGGCACGGTGGCTCAAGTCTGCAATCCCAGCACTTTGGGAGGCTGAGGCGGGCAGATCACGAGGTCAGGAGATCAAGACCATCCTGGCTAACACGCTGAAACCCTGTCTGTACTAAAAATACAAAAAATTAGCGGGCGTGTTGGCGGACCCCTGTAGTCCCAGCTACTTGGGAGGCTGAGGCAGGAGAATGGCGTGAACCCGGGAGGTGGAGCTTGCAGTGAGCTGAGATCGCACCACTGCACTCCAGCCTGGGAGACAGAGTGAGACTCTGTCTCAAAGAAGAAAAAAAAAAAAAAGAAAATAACTATGTGCAGCTCACACTTAAACAGTTGGAACTTATGCTTCACTTGCTCAAGGGTAAATTACTTAGGTTATTTGGAATTCTTCTGCATGGGAGATTTGTCTATCACCATTTATTAATAAATTTGCTTATTCATTCAGTCATTTCTTTGTATCAGAATATTTATTTTATACTTTGGATTATAATCCAATAATACTTTATATTGCTGCTTAAATATTTTCAGTTTTGGCCATTGAGAGCTCTGTCAGTTGGCCCTGATTTGTCTTTTATTCTCACAGATTCTTGGAGAAGCTATATCATTCTTTCCTTCCTCAGCATACCGATGCTTCTCCTCATTTTGTATAATATAAAAAGAAAAAGTGTAAACTATTTAGCTAGTTAAATTATCTTCATCCCCTATCCTGACCTCTTCTGGTATCAATCTCCAAATATAAAGGAAATTAACATTGGTTAATCTTTTATAGCTCAGGTATTCTATTAGTTTTTAAAATATTTCTTCAATTTTCCTTTTTTTTTGTTTTAGTAAACATTGGTTGTTGAGTTTTTTGTTTGTTTTTTTTTATATTCCCCATAAAGTATGGATATACAAGATGTTTTTCATGCAGATAACCCCAGCAAGATACTATACAAGAAAATCATCCTCAAGACACATAGTCATCAGATTCTCCAAGGTTGAAGTGAAAGAAAAATGTTAAAGGCAGCTAGAGAGATGAGGAAGGTCACCTACATAGGAAACCCCATCAGGCTAACAGTGGATCTTTCAGAAGAAACTCAATAAGCTAGAAAAGATTGGGGATCTATATTCAGCATTTTAAAGAAAATAAATTTCAACCAGTAATTTAATATCTAGCCAAGCTGAAATTCACAACTGAAGGACAAATAAGATCCTTTTCAGACAAGTAAATGTTAAGGGAATTTATTGCCACCAGATTTGCCTTACATGAGATCCTAAAAGAAGTGCTAAATATGGAAAGGAAAGAATTGTGCCAGCTACCTCAAACACATACTTAAGTACATAAATCATTGGCACTATAAAACAACCACACAATCAAGTCATTGTAATAACCAGCTAACTACATGATGACAGGATCAAACCTGCAAATGTCAATATTAACCCTGAATCTAAATGGGCAAAATGCCCCAATTAAAAGGCACATAGCAGTCATTTGCTTGAAGAAGCAAGACCCAACTGTATGATAGTATTGAAGAGATCCATCTTACATGCAATGACACCCATAGACTCAAAGGAAAGGGATGGAGAAAAATATACCACACAAATGGAAAGTAGAAAAAAAAGTAGGGGTTTCTATTCTAATTTCAGACCAAACATACTTTAAACCAATAAAAATCAAAAAAAGACAAAGAAGGGCATTACATAATAGTTAAAGGGCTCAATTTAACAAGAAGATCTGTCTTAAATATATATGCACCCAACACAGAAGCACCCAGATTCATAAAGCAAGTTCTTAGAGACCTATGAAGAGGTGTAGATAATGCCACAAAAATAGTGGAAGACTTCAGCATGCCACTGACAGTATTAGAAAGATCACTGATGCAGAAAATTAACAGATATCCTGGGCCTGAATTTGACATTTGACCAAATGGGCCTAATGTATATCTCCAGAACTCTCCTCCCCAAAACAGCAGAATATGCATTCTTCTCATCTGCACATGGCACCTAATCTAAAATTAACCACAACTGAGGGACTGGGGTTAGGGCTTCTCATTACTGAGAAAAAAAAGAAGACCCTTTATGACCTTTACTGAAATAATCTAACTTACTGGCAATATCAATTAATTCCACAATAATATAGATTAAATCAGTTATTGAAATCAGTAGTTAGGGTACATCATCCAAAAGTCCTGATGAAACAAAAATTATTGAACTCCACCTCCAGAGTTTCTAACCAGTAAATTTTAGGTGGGACCAGTATTTTTCAGTTCTAATAACTTTCCAGGTACATTAGTTTGCTAGGGATGCCATTACCAAATACCATAGACTGCGCTCCTTAAACAACAGAAATTTATTTTCTCAAAGTCTGGAGGCTGGAAGTCCAAGATGAAGGTTTCAGCAGCATTGGTGTATTCTGAGGTCTCTCTCCTTCTCTTGCAGATGGTGGTCTTCTGGGTATGTTTGCACATGGTATTTCTTCTGTGTCTGCAAGTATCTGGTGTCTCTTCTCTCCCCTTCTTATAAGGATAACAGACATACTGGATTAGGAACCACTCTAATAGCTCCAGTTTAACTTAATCACCACTTTAAATGCTCTCTCTCCAAATATAGTCACAGTCTTCCAAGTTAGATCTTCAACATATGAATTTCAGGGTGACATAATTCAGCCCATACCAACTGGCTATGCTGATGCTGCTGTCTGGGACCACGTGTTGCAAATTACTGGCTTATGTCATTAAATAAATCCAAGAATTTGCCAAGAAAAACTGACAGTGATTGGGATAAGTAATGGTGCAATATCAGTAAGGAGAATTCAGAAGATGAATTCTGGATATAGAGGCTCCTCTTTCTCAACATTGATCGAGAGTGACAATCACACACAAGATCAATTAAGAAAAAGAAGCTGAGTTGTAGTCAACATGATCCTTTGTCCCTTGCCTTCCATGAACCCTGAATCAATAGAAATATTCCATGTGAGGGATATTTAATGTCACTAGAAACTCTTAGCTCTGACAAGTAATTTGCAGGTGCACTGGTTCATATATTGTTTACTGCTTTGTGTTTGCCTTGTGGCTTTCTATAGATTACTCTTAAATGTGTTCACTGTGGGACACTAGATTTTCCAGACTTATGGTGGCATTATTATGAATAAAAGTCCTATGGACAAACAGATCCAAACTTGTATATAAACACCCAGAAGATAAATCTAGGTTCTTTAGAAAACAAGCCAAAATTAGGAGAAAAGGAGGAGAGAAAAAAGTATTTTCACATATTCATTAGATAGATCAGATTATCTAATAGATTCATTAGATAGATCATATTATCTAATAGATCAATCATAGATATTATCTATGATAATGATTATCTAGATATGATTGAACTATAGATCAATCATATCAATTTTTCTGTAAAGTTGACTTTTTAATATCAAAATAATTTACAGTAATAAATTTGAAACCAAACTTTAGTTCAAAATAAATTTTCTTCAAGTGCATGCTCTTTAAAAAATATTTAGATTTGACCTTCAGTCTTCTAATCTGTCAAATGAGTTAACAATACTTGTATTAAGAATTTCCCATAATGTGGCCTGGAGCGGTGGCTCACGCCTGTAATCCCAGCACTTTGGGAGGCCAAGGCGGGCAGATCATGAGGTCAGGAGATCGAGACCATCCTGGCTAACACGGTGAAACCCTGTCTCTACTAAAAATACGAAAAATTAGCCTGGTGTGGTGGCCGGCGCCTGTAGTCTCAGCTACTCGAGAGGCTGAGGCAGGAGAATGGCGTAAACCCGGGAGGCGGAGCTTGCAGTGAGCCCAGATCGCGCCACTGCACTCCAGCCTGGGTGACAGAGCAAGACTCCGTCTCAAAAAAAAAAAAAAAAAAAAATTGCCATAATATTTAATGAAATGCTGAATATTCAGTAATAGATACCTAGGACGTATTCAAAATGGTGGTTATAATTATGAAGACTGCTATAGAGTATTAAACAGAGGTAGTCGATAGTGTACATACATTGTATGATTTGGCAAGTGTCCCACTAAAGAAAATATTTAGTGGAATCGGCTAAGTTATCAGCATTCTCTTCTCCCCTACCTTCAGATAATCTTGACATCTCCTATGTTTTATTCTAGTATGAATATGGCCACTCCTTCAATTCTTTCCTCAAAAAATCTACTCTCAACAAAGCTCACCAGAGTAAGTTGATTCCTGGAGAAAATTAGAAAAGTTTTCAATGCCAACATGGGAGATTTGTCTAAGAATGCAAAATTACATGATAATTTCTTTTATTTTGAGTGGCTATAAGAATGCCATGCATATATGAATAAGGTCTTCTAGAGCTGACATAACAACATATCTGAGACTGGATAGCCTAAACAACAGGAATTTGTTTTCTACAGTTCCAGAAGCTAATAGCCCAAGAACAAGGTGCTATGAAGGTTGGTTCCTTGTAAGGCCTCTCTGCCTGACATGTAGATAACCTCTCACATGGCCCTTTCTTTGTGTGTGTTGGGGAAAAGAGAGAGAGAAATCTCTTGTGTCTCTTTTTGTTCTTGTAAGAATACTGGCCTAGGGCCCAAAACTCATGACCTCATTTAAACTTAGTTACCTCCCTAAAGGCCTTATCTCCAAATACAGTCACATTGGGGTTCAGAGTTTCAACATATGAATTTTGGGAAGACACAATTCAGTCCACAACAGAAAGTAACTAATAATATGTTAAGGTTTGCAAATCATCAACAATATTTCACAATATGAATAGGTAATGAATGCATACACGTTTTATTTTTTCACATCATCTTTAACACTAACGTGCAATGATTCTGAATGGTTTTATTTTGATCACACAGAGCCCATATACAATTTTGTTTGCTGTGTATTTGCCTTTTTAAGTAAAATAAAAGTGTTTGACAAAGATTACGAGACATTCATAAAATCCCGTAAAATAAGTGGAGAAAATTATTCTACAGTGTTTTCTACTTTTTATACCGTGATATATTTGGAGATATGTCTGGAGATTGAATAGGAAGAAATGTACAGATAAACAACCAAAGGTGACATTAAATCTAAGAGTTTATGGTAAGAGTCAAAAATATTTTTATTTTCCATGGAAACAGTCAACTATGAAATTAACATAAAACTTTTTCAATAAAACAATTTTGTTTATTTCTCCAAATAACTTATCCAAACTAGAAATCTACAAATGTAGATCAAAGCATTCTGGTTCTTAAAGAGTGACAAAA
Source organism: Homo sapiens (assembly GCF_000001405.40). Taxonomy (NCBI): domain Eukaryota; kingdom Metazoa; phylum Chordata; class Mammalia; order Primates; family Hominidae; genus Homo; species Homo sapiens. The sequence goes on along the minus strand of NC_000003.12, from coordinate 86,719,756 downwards.
TATTCATTTTTACAAATATTTTCAATCTTTTCTTGCAACTTCTTATAAAAGTCATGCTTGACTCTTGGGCAACATTTGATATGCCAATATATGTTTGGTATATAGCATTCAACACTTTTCAGGGATTTGAAAATACAACCACATTAAATAATTAGTGATTTTCTTCTAAAGCTTGTGACAAATAATGTATTTAAGAAACAGAACTAGGATTTGTCAATTTTCATTCATAAATGCATTCAGCCATGTTTTCAAAGCATGCCAGGAATATTAAATCCACCAAGTCAAGAAATAAAATGAATTGAATAAATGCAATTCAGATGAAATTCTAACTGAGACATTGAGTAGTGAAGGGAAAATGTATTATCTGTTAAATTTTTCTCACATTAAAATAAAAGAAAAAACTTTAACCTGGTTAAATATCAGACATCAGTTTAGATAAGAATTGTATACATTCCTCAAATCTGTTCCAGCACTGAGTCTTGATTGTGATTCAGAGAACAAGTGTCTGCATTGCCTGTTTATTCTGATTCAGTCCAAATCTTTTAAAACAACAAAGACAGAATTAAGTCAATATGACCTACTTTCACAATTTTTTAAAAAAATTTTTTCTGCAATTCCTGAAAAAGACCTAAGCCTATTATATATTCGGTAGCATTTTATGTTAGAATGATCACTAGAACCTGGAAAAAATATTCTTTAAAAAGCTAACACTCTTAAAGTTAAAAAATAAATCTCACTCTTTTTGCTGGAATATTTTGATGAGACCACATGTTTTATGAGCTTTCACTGGAATATCTCACTGAGTAGAAAGAAAAGGAGAAGCCTCATTGAAGGCATTGTTTCAGTACATTATCAAACTGCTCTTATATATTGACAAGCATAGTGGTTCAAACAAATCCTTTTGGAAAAAGTATTGAATTTGGATGGTAAATACACATTTTGTAACTGAAACTAGTTTAAAAATTTTAAATTATACTAAAGGAAATGGCAAACTATGGCAGTGGAAAGGAACATGACACGTCATTACCACAGAATAAAATTTCTTATTCCTCAAACTGAAAACAAGCTGACTCCAGAACATACAAGTTTACTTTTTCTAATTAGGAAAATACAGGACAATAGAAATAGATAATATAATAGTTTAGGGATTACAGAATAATTCTTATCTTGGGTTAGCAAATTTATAACACAATTTACTTCTGTAAAAGTGCAAAAGACATAACTGTGGGTGCTTTTTTATATAAACTTCATGATAAATAAAAACTATACATTCTAGGTTATCTAATTATTAGTGGCTAAGCAATTAGAGGTCTGTGTTAGTCCATTTTCATACTGCTATGAAGACTGGGTACTTTACAAAGAAAACGAAGTTGAATGGACTCGCAGTTCCACATGGCAGAAGGTGAAGTAGGAGGAAAAGCATGTCTTATATGGCGGCAGTCAAGAGAGTACGTGCAGGGGAACTGCCCTTTATAAAACCATCAGATGTTGTAAGACTTATTCACTATCATGAGAACAGCATGAAAAATCCTGCCCCCGTGATTCAATTACCTCCCACTGGATCCCTCCCATGACACAAGGGGATTATGGGAGCTACAATTCAAGATGAGATTTGGGTGGGGACACAGCCAAACTATATCAAGATCCTTAACCAAAAATGTGACAATATAATCTCAGATTTGGGATTTTAAATTTTAAAATTTAGTTTTCCAGATGTACTTATTCATATATCTTGTATTCATTCTAACAAACACGTATTAACTGCTGCTTTTTCAGATGGTATAGTTGACCTTATGCAAAATGTCTAGAGTAAGGGTTACAAACCTGAGTGCCCAAAGGAGTAACGTAAATGAGCAAAGCTGGCCTGTGTGAAATGAAGCTCCCTGGAGTGTGAGCATCCACCAAAAAGGGACAGGTTGTCTTCAGCTACAATATGGTTATGTGGGCACAGTTTTTCCAGATTTACCATTTTTTAGAGGAGATTGGAAATCTGACATTGTAATTGCAGACTTCTGATTTTAAAGTACCAACAACTAATTAAGTTTAAAAAATCGTGTTTTTTTAATATATAGATAGCCAAACAAAACCGACCTGATGCAGCCTGACTGTTTAAAGTTTTTCCCACTGATACAGAGATTTATCAATACGTTTGAAGTCTGACATTTTATTCAGATTTTTGGCAATGAATAAATAGCCTCCAAGTCTATCATTGGTTCTAAAGATAAATACCTGATTCTCTGTTGTCTGTTCTGATTCCATGATACTCAATCTTTCTATCAGTCCCTTGGAAAATGACATTGTCAGATCATCTTTAAGTTTGTCTGATGATACCTATTTGTAAAAGGAGAATGTTACACTGTTTAATACAGGTCAGAACTGAAAAAGAAAGTATTCTGAGAAAATAAAACAAGATATTATTTGAGTAAAAATTATTTTATGTGTACATCATATATATACACACATATCTATATGTATGCACATTTTATATATATACATGCACACACACAGTAAAAGATTCACAGAGATTGAATCAATAGTCATCAATCAAACTTTATGTTAGTAGGAATTATCTGAAATAAATGTATTTTTTAATATGTGGTTTTACTCCAAGAGATGCAGATTCTGTAGTATTTAAAGAGGACCCAGGGCCTTTTCAAGAAGGCTTCATATGATTTCAGGCTCATGGTTATAAGATTGATGTTACAAACACTATGGTAGATTAAAACACTGATAAAGAATAAAACATCAATTTGATACAAAATTAGCATCATTTCAGTGAAAGTAGTCAAGGTCCTACCCTTTACATTTTCCTTTTCAAATAAATGACAGTTGACTATTGGATCATCCTCTTTAGTGTGAATATTCTATATAGTGGAAGAGTAAGTAAATATAGATGGTCCCTGACTTGTGATGGTTGAAATCACAATCTTTTCTTTTTTTTTTTTTTGAAATGGAGTCTCACTCTGTCACCCAGGCTGGAGTGCAGTGGCACTATTCCAGCTCACTGCAAACTCAGCCTTCCAGGTTCAAGCAATCTCTGCCTCAGCCTCCTGAGTAGCTGGGATTACAGGCACCCGCTACCACGCCCAGCTAATTTTTGTATTTTCAGTAGAGATGGGGTTTCACCATCTTGGCCAGGCTGGTCTTGAACTCCTGACCTCGTGATCCACCCGTCTTGGCCTCCCAAAGTGATGGGATTACAGGCGTGAGCCACAGCGCCCGGCCTGAAGTTACAATTTTTCATTTCTATGATGGTGCAAAAGTGTATTCACCTTTCTCATGCAACTGATAAAAACATACTCAAGAATGAGTAATTTATAAAGAGAAAGAGGTTTAATGGACTCACAGTTCCGCGTGGCTGGTGAGGTCTCATGATCATGGTGGAAAGCAAAAGACATTTCTTACAAGGTGGCTGACAAGAGACAATGAGATCCAAGAGAAAGGGGTTTCCCCTTATAAAACCATCAGATCTCATGAGACTTACTCATACCACGAGAACAGTATGGGGGAAACCATCCCCATGACTCAATTATCTCCCACTGAGTTTCTCCCACAACACGTGGGAATTATGGGAGCTACAATTCAAGATAAGATTTGGGTGGGGACACAGCCAAACCATACCAAAAATCAATACACATTTAGTAGAAACCTTACTTCAAGTACTCATACAACCATTCTGTTTTTCACTTTCGGTGTTCAATAAATTACATGAGATATTCAACACTTTATAATAAAACAGAATTTTTTGTTAGGTGCTTTTGCCCAACTGTAGGCTAATGCAAGTTTTCTGAGCACATTTAAGGTAGGCTAAGCTAAGCTGTGATGTTTGGTAGGTTAGTTGTATTAAGAGCATTTTTGACACAGGATTTTTTGATATTTTGAACTCACGGTTGATTTATAGACCCCATTATAAGTCAAGGAGCCTCTGTACTATTTCACAATTGTTAACCAGATGGTTGTGCTCATTGGCTGACAACTTTAAATAAATATAAAAATAACAATAAAAACAGTAAAAGCTAAAATTGAAAACAGTACCCCCAAACACATAGTTATTATTGTTATTCTGATTTTATAGATAATGAAAGGGATTAGCCAAATATCTTCCAGTGAGGCAAATTGCCAAGCATCATAATATTTAATAAATGGTTTCTCCATGGAGAAAACAACCAGAAATCCCTCTCATTACAAGGGGAGAGAGGATAAGGTAGTCATTGTCCTAAGCACCAATCTCCCATGTCACATTTAGTTGGCATTTCAAGCACAGGGTGGCTAGGATACAACAGGCAATATTTTTACATTTTGTGAGTATATACCACCTTAATCATGAAATCATATATAATTTATCTTTTTTTTTTTTGTGATCCAACAATTTTCTCTCATCCCTCTGTCCTAAGCATGTAGCCATCCTAGAGTTTTCTAACAGAGGCATAATCCTCTTCTGAGATAAGCCCTTGATATTTCCAATTGGTTAAAAGTGACACTCACTGTTTGATATTTATCTGTCTCAGCTCTCATTGAATAGAGACATTTAATAAGATGGCTAGTTAAATCTTGCCAGTCAATCTCTTTCTTCTTCCTACACCTATACTAGCATCATGCTGGTCACAGATGACAGTACGCTCGCAGATCTTGATCTAGTCACAATGTCAGAGGATTGGAAATAATATAATGGCCCTCTCGGGACAGAATAGGGAGGTAACATGATGTAATGTAAAGAGTAAAAGAGAAGATTTTTCGGGGGGTTGAATCCTAAATATATTAGTTTTCTAGCTCTTTGACCTAAGGTAAATTAACTAAGTTATCCTTTCTCAGTCTCCTTACCTAACATCTCTACCTCATAGGGTCATTGTCAGTGTTCACTCAATAACTCTTTGCTATTGTAGTTATCATTAACAAGGAAATATGCATGGCTCACGCCTGTAATCCCAGCGATTTGGGAGTCCGAGGCGGGTGGATCACGAGGTCAGAAGATGGAGACCATCCTGGCTAACACGGTGAAACCCTGTCTCTACTAAAGATACAAAAAATTAGCCGGGCGTGGTGGCGGGCGCCTGTAGTCCCAGCTGCTCTGGCGGCCGAAGCAGGAGAATCGCTTGAACTTGGGAGGCGGAGCTTGCAGTGAGCCGAGATCGCGCCACTGCAGTCTAGCCTGGGTGAGGTGACCGAGCAAGACTCCTTCTGAAAAAAAAAAAAAAAAGAAACAAAAACTGGGATTTTTTTTTTAATGCATATGCCAGACTACAAAATGTAAATCGTGTGAAATTCCGTACTCACTGCCATCATTTTATTCTCTTACCTGATTATAGTGGTACAGATGTAACACTTCCATATGATACAAATTAAAATAAAGGAGGAGTTATAACAAAAGGAGATCTAGGAGAATCATTAAAACTAAAGTTGATACTAAGCTCTGAGATAGAAAAAGAAGAAAGGGGGAAGGAGAAAGAAAATACTGCAATAGCTTCTGAATATTGATGAGTATTAAAATTGTTGAGATGATAAACACATAATTTTGGCATTCTAGACCCAGATATTTTGACTCAGGAAGTCTGGGGTTAGGTCCAGAAACAAACACTTAAATTTCCCCTGTGATTTGGATATTTAGCTCACTTAGACCACCCCTACATAAATACTGAAAGAGGGATCGCTTACTCTGAAAAGAAAGCTCAAAAGGACTTTTTATCACTACCTTCACATTCACAAATAATACTTCACTGAGTAGTATCGTCATTGTTTTTTCCATTCTCTCTTATAACTAAAAGTGAAGAAATAAAATTAATATACTTGTTAAGGAATTTTATCTTAGCTATCAGAAATTTTTTAAAAAATTAAAGAGTAAAAATATAGAAATCAAATACTGGTTATCTATGGTTATGGATGTCCTAGTTTAGCAATCTTTTAAAACAAAGACTAAGTATTATCATTTTAGTTACAGATTAGGAGTTAAACTGTCTAGATTACTTTTAGGAAAGAGAACTAATACTTAACAGCCCTCCTATATGTGAACATTATTTTTCTTCATCTAATCCTCACAACAACCTTTTAGGGAGGTCTCACTCACCATTATTTTTTACGTGAGTATGTTAGGCTTGGAAGCACCAATAACCTTGCCCAAATTTACATTATTAGTCAACTATTACACCAACTTGCAAACTCAAGACCCCCCCCCAACTAGAAATTCCTTCATTTTCTTTTAGCTGGCCTCTCTCCAGACTGAAATATTCCACAATAAACATATTTCCATTCATCAATTTTTTCTCCATAGCACAGCACTACAATTTCTCTCCAGCTACTGCAGGCCATCTACCAGCACTAAAATCTTTAGTAATTTCCCACTTCTTGCGGAATTAATTCAAAATTCCCTAACAGAGCACAGAAGATCTTATGTAACTTGTTTCTAACCTATTTCTTCTGCCTCACCTTGATTTCTCCCCAGCCTTTTATTAAATAGATTTATCTTTCTTTGTAGAATGACAAGGTATCTTGATCAGAGTTCTCTGCCTGGAATACCTTTAACAGTCTTATCTTCCTAGCTCATTCTGAGCCATTTTTTGAAGCCTGCCATAAATACCTTTTCTCTGACACCAACAACAGAACTAATTTTTACTCTTTTGTAATCTCAGGCTATATTCTGTACATTTCTCCCTTTGTCATTCATTCATTTGTTACATGACATTACCCACGATTGAAATAAGCAACTTGAAGCGAGATCCCAGCTTTATTCAATTTTGTATCCCCAGTACCTAGTTCTTAGTAAGTGTCCATAAACCCTAATGAGGTAAATAAAACTATGATTATAAAATAGTTAGTGTTGTTGTTAGTCTTCTTTAGCAATACATTTCAATCCACCATGGATGCATCCCATTATTAAAATATGAACTTTAAAATTCACTACATATTTATAAGGGTGGTAATTATAACTTATTTTCATATTTTCATTAGCATGTCAAGGTATCTTCCTAATAAATAATTACAAAAAGTTTTAAAAATTCTCCTCATCAAGGATGAAGAGATTATCTACTATTAGCTAAAATATGACTTTGGCTTGTATTTAAAATTAACGGCAGGTGTATTGGCATAATTAATATGAAGGTATTTAAAATACTTAACATTGATATTATTTTCCATACCAAGAAATAGATTGCATCATGCAGTTATAAATTTTTTCTCTAAACTCTATTAAAATATGACTTTGTAAATATCTATAAATTATACTCATTTTATATTACTAGCAAGATATAGAGGACAGACAAAAGAGTCAGCTGATGGGCCTACACATTTGTAGGATGAACTCCTTTGAGGCTCTGTGGGATGAATACAAAGACACCCTCAATAAATTTGTATTTATTTTTTATAAACAAATCTGGAAGCCAATTCAAAATGTATGCTCTAAGCTATTTTATGCATATCTTGTATGCTTGTGCATTTTTCTGGAGACATGCATAAGGACTAAATACATTTCTTCAAAACCCTTAACTCTACACTTACTATATGAGATTATAATGACTGAGGCTCCCTTTTCACACGCTTCAAGCCCTTTGTAGTATTCTATATCCATTAGAATATATCTGCAATTTATGAGTAACACTAGAATTTTAACACATTCTTAGAATCTTAACACACCTTTAGTTTCATTAATTTTGTGATTTTTCTTTTTTCTTTTGGATTCTAAGTATGCTGGTAACTAGACCATTCTTTGAAATACATATTTCTAAAACTTTTCTCCCTGTTCTCTCTTCTATCTTTCAGTCTCAGTATAATAAGTTCAACTGATTTGATTCCAATTAGAATTTTTTTTTCTCTTTCAGTCCACGTGAATTCAGTTCTCTATGTAGCTTTGGAAAATTGCCCGAGAGAGGACTGCATCATTGATAGAAACAGGTGGAGTGGTTTACTGAAGGAATGCATTATTTCTAATCTCCTCCATTATGTGTCAAGGCAACATCTTGACTGATGTTGCTGAATTACCTTTAACAAGACCATTTGCAGCTGCAATTTGAAAGTGATGTATTCTATGAAGTTCCTGATACTGCCAAGAGCAGAGGCTGGGTTTTTGTGGCCTTGATGATTGTTAGCCAAACACTTGAATTACTGGACTTCACCAAAGTATAATTCAGTAAAATTGGAGGAAAGAAAAAACAATTTTGGAAGATAGCTACATGTACTTTTAGGAAACATTGGACCTTGACAAATCATTTCAAAGACATCTCAAATTAATTAAAGCATCTTAGTTCAAACCTCAAAAATACTATATTCCTTTATGTGTTAGATTATAGGAAAAGCCTAAAAATGCTGATCTAATCTAAAGTGGTAGAAAGCAAATTTTAAAATAGAAAACAAAGAGTAGAAAACCTCGAAGTGCTATTTTGAATTTCATTTAAAAATATAATAGTATGCTTCAACAATAAGGTTTTTAAGCACTTCAAACAAATGGTTTAATATACTCCCCTTTTTACTTTTTCACTAAAAGTGGAACAATAAAAGTAATTCTAATTAGTTCTTCACATATGTAGACTACAGTGATGTCATTCATGGGTTAAGGATTTTAACTTTCTCTGCTGTGTTTATCCATTTCACATGAACTATCCAGCACCTAAGCCGGAGATATTTGTTCCTTTTCCTTCATTATTGCGGGCCTTACAGGTATGTCTTGTCCCTGAGGAAAAATTCCTCTACAAGTCTAGAGATAGAAAAGCTATGTCTCACATCGTAGGGTAGAAGCTTTATTGCTTTGCCTTCATTTTACCATAGCTGTGAGATGTCCAAAGCTAAATTTTATTCGCCATTATTCTTTGCTCTTGGATTTTTTAAGATAATTTTCTTTGTTTCTTATATGGTTCTTATATTTTTATCTAAATTTTAATTGTTTTATCTTTAAGCCATTCTGTGAAAACCATCTTAAATCTTTTTTGAAAACTTGCTTGTTACAAACAATTTAATAAATTTGCAGGAAAAAGAAGTAGGATAGCCTATGTTAAGCTACAAGACAGCTTTTGAATAGCTGTCTGCACAAAATATTTTCTCTAGTGACATTCAAAATTCCACTCTTGTTAAAAAAAATGGTAACAAAGAAAAATAGCATTCTTTCCGCAGCCATTCTCTGTATATGAATTCATCAAATTAATCTCCTTAAGTAACTAACAGAATCATGGAATAGTGGCCTCTGAAAAGAGAGGAATACTGAAGAAAGAAGACATACTCCTTTCTTTCTTTTCTAAGATTGACGCTTCCCTTCCATTACTACATAGTAGTTTCTAGAAAGTACAGAAAGAATAACTTACTGAGATTAAAAAAAAGAAAAAAGAAACCCTCATACAGTGTGGGATCAGTAGAAGGATGATCACAAACTACTGCCATGTAGGAACTTCAGCCATACATAATCATCTTATCTTCATGAAGGAAGACTCAATCACCTTCGAACTCCATGTTACATTATGCAAAACTCTATTTCAGACAGTAGGTTAATTTGTTAATAATTTTTATTGGTTGTGACACCTCTTTAAAAATGTTCCTTGAGGACCCATATGCATGTTTATTTTAGTATTCAAAAGGGCTGGGTATGGGAAAAGCTTTAAAATTTGGTCAGCTTAATATATCATAAAATTTAGACCATTGATCCTAAATGTAAGTTATTTATTTCCTATCTTTTGTTCATAAATCTATATTATATTTTTACTAGCCTTAGAAAACTTTATTAATGTAATAAAGCTATTGTCTCATGTATATAAAAATGTTTTCCCCAGGTTGCTGTTGGCTACAGCCTGCTTTTCTTTCTAAGCTCCTTTATCTGTGTAGTTTTGTATCCAAAATTTAAAGGTAAATCAGACTACTCATTCAACTTCCATTTCCCTAGTAAAAATTTAACCCTGTACAGCTAAAACTAATTATGCACTAGGCTTTTCCTTGAGCTAAGCAATATGAAGTACTAACTCAGGCCCCAGAGTACTATATCATGCAATGAAACACTCACTTTGCTTAATGCCCTAGTGAATTGAAGAATTAATACATTTCTTAAGTGCCAAATATAATCCCATGCATTAGGTCATGTTTTGGGAGAATGTAGTTCAATTTGAAAAAAACAACTTGGTATTAGCACATAAAATAAGAAGTTTATGAAAAATAGAAATAAAATATATCCCTAAGCAAAAAATTTATTTTTTTCCAAGAGATGTTTGTTGAATAATAGTGACAATTTATCAATTATAGTATGCTCTAGGGCTAGTTTCACATTTACTGTTAAGAAAAGTTGTGGTCTCTTCCAAGATGGCTGAATAGGAACAGCTGCGGTCTGCCGCTCCCAGTGAGATGGATACGGAAGATGGGTGATTTCTGCATTTCCAACTGAGGTACCTGGTTCATCTCACTGGGACTGGTTGGACAATGGGTGCAGCCCATGAAGGGCGAGCCAAAGCAGGGTGGGGCATTGCCTCACCAGGGAAGTGCAATGAGTTGGGGAATTTCCCTTTCCTAGCCAAGGGAAGCTGAACCAGAATGTACCTGGAGGAATGGTACATTTCTGCCCAAATACTGTGTTTTCCCACAGTTTTAGCAACCGGCAGACCAGGAGATTCCCTCCCATGCCGGGCTCGGCAGGTCCCACACCCATGGAACCTTGCTCACTGCTAGTGCAGTAGTCTGGGATCAACCTGGGAAGCTGCAGCCTGGCGGGGGGAGGGGCATCAGCCTTTGTTGAGTCTTGAGTAGGTAAACAAAGTGGTTGGGAAGCTCAAACTGGGTGGAGTCCACCGCAGCTCAGCAAGGCCTACTGCCTCTCTAGACTCCACCTCTGTGGGCAGGGCATAGCTGAACAAAAGGCAGCAGACAATTTCTCCGCACTTAAAACGTCCCTGTCTGACAGCTCTGAAGAGAGTAGGGGTTCTCCCAGTATGGCGTTCGAGCTCTGAGAATGGACAGGCTGCCTCCTGAAGTGGGTCCCTGACCCCCATGTAGCTTGACTGGGAAACCCCTCCCAGTAGGGGCTGACAGACACCTCATACAGGTGGGTGCCCCTCTGGGACGAACCTTCCTGAGGAAGGATCAGGCAGCAATATTTTGCTGTTCTGCAGTATTTGCTGTTCTGCAGCCTCCGCTGGTGATACCCAGGCAAACAGGGTCTGGAGTGGAACTCCAGCAAACTCCAACGGACCTGCAGCTGAGCGACCTGACTGTTAGAAGGAAATCTAACAAACAGAAAGGAATAGCATCAACATCAACAAAAAAGACATACACACCAAAACCCCATCTGTAGGTCACCAACATCAAAGACTAAAGGTAGATAAAACCACAATGATGGGGAGAAACTAGAGCAGAAAAGCTGAAAATTCCAAAAACCAGAGTGCTTCTTCTCTTCCAAAGGATTGCATCTCCTCACCAGCAACAGACTAAAACTGGATGGAGAATGAGTTTGATGAGTTGACAGAAGTAGGCTTCAGGAGGTTGGTAATAACAAACTTCTCCGAGCTAAAGGAGCATGTTCTAATCCATCACAAGGAAGCTAAAAACCTTGAAAAAAAGGTTAGATGAATGGCTAACTAGAATAAACAGTGTAGAGAAGACCTTAAATGATCTGATGGAGCTGAAAACCATAGCATGAGTACTTCATGATGCATGCACAAGCTTCAATAGCCGATTCAATCAAGTGGAAGAAAGGATATCAATGAATGAAGATCAAATTAATGAAATAAATTGAGAAGACAGGTTTAGAGAGAAAAGAGTAAAAAGAAACAAACAAAGCCTCCAAGAAATATGGGACTATGTGAAAAGACCAAATCTACATTTGACTGGTGTACCTGAAATTGATGAGGAGAATGGAAACAAGTTAGAAAACACTCTTCAGGATATTATCCAGGAGAACTTCCCAAACCTAGCAAGGCAGGCCAACATTCAAATTCAGGAAATACAAAGAACATCACTAAGATACTCCTTGAGAAGAGCGACCCCAAGGCACATAATTGTCAGATTCACCAAGGTTGAAATGAAGGAAAAAATGTTAAGGGCAGCCAGAGAGAAAGGTCGGGTTACCCACAAAGGGAAGCACATCAGACAAACATCAGATCTCTCAGCAGAAACCCTTCAAGCCAGAAGAGAGTAGGGGCCAATATTCAACATTCTTAAAGAAAAGAATTTTCAACACAGAATCTCATATCCAGCCAAACTAAGCTTCATAAGTGAAAGAGAAATAAAATCTTTACAGACAAGCAAAGGCTGAGAGATTTTGTCACCACCAGGCCTGCCTTACAAGAGCTCCTGAAGGAAGCACTAAAAATGGAAAGGAACACCTGGTACCAGCCACTGCAAAAACATGCCAAATTGTAAAGACCATAGATGCTATGAAGAAACTGCATCAATTAGTAGGCAAAATAACCAGCTAACATCAAAATGACAGGATCAAATTCACACATAACAATATTAACCTTTAATGTAAATGGACTAAATACCCCAATTGAAAGACATAGACAGGCAAATTGGATAAAGAGTCAAGACCTATCAGTGTGCTGTATTCAGCAGACTCATGTCACATGCAGAGACACACATAGGCTCAAAATAAAGGGGATGGAAGATAATCTACCAAGGAAATGGAAAGCAAAAAAAAGCAGGGGTTGCAGTCCTTGTCTCCGATAAACAGACTTTAAACCAACAAAGATCAAAAGAGACAATCAAGGCCATTACATAATGGTAAAGGGATCAATTCAACGAGAAGAGCTAACTATCCTAAATATATATGCACCCAATACAGGAGCACCCAGATTCATAAAGGAAGTCCTTAGAGACCTACAAAGAGACTTAGACTCCCACACAATAATAATGGGAGATTTCAACACCCCACTGTCAATATTAGATCAACAAACAGAAGGTCAACAAAAGAAGGTTAACAAGGATATATAGGACTTGAATTCAGCTCTGCAACAAGCAAACCTAATAGACATCTACAGAACTCCCCATCCCAAATCAACAGAATATACATTCTTCTCAGCACCACATTGCACTTATTCTAAAATTGTCCACATAATTGGAAGTAAAACACTCCTCAGCAAGTGTAGAAGAACAGAAATCACAACAAACAGTCTCTCAGATCACAGTGCAATCAAATTAGAACTCAGGGTTAAGAAACTCACTCAAAACCACACAACTTCATGGAAACTGAACAACGTGCTCCTGAATGATGACTGGGTAAATAACAAAATGAAGGCAGAAATAAAGATGTTATTTGAAACCAATGAGAACAAAGACACAACATACCAGAATCTCTGGGACACATTCAAAGCAGTGTGTAGAGGGAAATTTATAGCACTAAATGCCCACAAGAGAAAGCAGGAAAGATCTAAAATTGACACCCTAACATCACAATTAAAAGAACTAGAGAAGCAAGAGCAAACAAATTCAAAAGCTAGCAGAAGTCAAGAAACAACTAAGATCAGAGCAGAACTGAAGGAGATCAAGACAGAAAAAAAACACCTTCAAAAAATCAATGAATCCAGGAGCTGGTTTTTTGAAAAGATCAACAAAATAGACCACTAGCAAGACTAATAAAGAAGAAAAGAGAGAAGAATCAAGTAGACACAATAAAAAATGATAAAGGGGACATCTCCACTGATCCCACAGAAATACAATCTACCATCAGAGGATACTATAAACACCTTTACACAAATAAACTAGAAAATCTAGAAGAAATGGATAAATTCATGGACACATACACCCCCTGAGACTTAACCAGGAGGAAGTTGAATCTCTGAATAGACCAATAACAGGTTCTGACATTGAGGCAATATTTAATAGCTTACCAACCAAAAAAAGTCCAGGACCACACGGATTCACAGCCGAATTCTTCCAGAGGTAAAAAGAGGAGCTGGTACCATTCCTTCTGAAATTATTCCAATCAATAGAAAAAGAGGAAATCCTCCCTAACTCATTTTCTGAGGCCAGTATCATCCTGATACCAAAGCCTGGCAGAGACACAACAAAAAAAGAGAATTTTAGACCAATATCCTTAATGAACATTGATGTGAAAATCCTCAGTAAAATACTGGCAAACTGAATCCAGCAGCATATGAAAAAGCTTATCCACCACAATCAAGACGGCTTCATCCCTGGGATGCAAGGCTGGTTCAACATATGCAAATCAATAAACATAATCCATCATATAAACAGAACAAAAGATAAAAACCACATGATTATCTCGATAGATGCAGAAAACACCTTCAACACAATTCAACAACAATTCATGCTAAAAATTCTCAATAAACTAGGTATTGATGGAATGTATCTCAAAATGATAAGAGCTATTTAGGACAAACCCACAGCCAATATCATACTGAATGGGCAAAAACTGGAAGCATCCCCTTTGAAAACTGGCACAAGACAAGGCAGCCCTCTCTCACCACTCCTATTCAACATAGTGTTGTAAGTTCTGGCTAGGGTAATCAGGAAAGAGAAAGAAATAAAGTGTATTCAATTACAAAAAGAGAAAGAAATAAAGTGTATTCAATTAGGAAAAGAGGAAGTCAAATTGTCCCTGTTTGTAGATGACATGATTATATATTTAGAAAACCCCATCATCTCAGCCCAAAATCTCCGTAAGTTGATAAGCAACTTCAGCAAAGTCTCAGGATACAAAATCAATATGCAAAAATCACAAGCATTTTTATACACCAGTAACAGACAAACAGAGAGCCAAATCGTGAGTGAACTCACATTCAATTGCTAAAAAGAGAATAACGTACCTAGGAATCCAACTTACAAGGGATGTGAAGGACCTCTTCAAGGAGAACTACAAACCACTGCTCAAGGAAATAAAAGAGGACACAAACAAATGGAAGGACATTCCATGCTCATGGATAGTAAGAATCAATATGGTGAAAATAGTCATATTGCGCAAGGTAATTTACAGATTCAATGCCATCCTCATCAAGCTACCAATGACTTTCTTCACAGAATTGGAAAAAACTAATTTAAAGTTCATATGGAACCCAAAAAGAGCCCGCATAGCCAACACAATCCTAAGCAAAAAGAACAAAGCTGGAGGCATCACGCTATCTGACTTCAAACTATACTACAAGGCTACAATAACCAAAACAGCATGGTACTGGCACCAAAACAGATATATAGACCAATGAAACAGAACAGAAGCCTCAGAAATAACACATAACACTACAGATCTACAACCATCTGATCTTTGACAAACCTGACAAATACAAGAAATGGGTAAAGGATTCTTTATTTAATAAATGGTGCTGGGAAAACTGGCTAGCCATATGTAGAAAGCTGAAACTGTATCCCTTCCTTACACCTTATACAAAAATTAACTCAAGATGGATTAAAGACTTAAATGTAAGACCTCAAACCATAAAAACCCTAGAAGAAAACCTAGGCAATACCATTTAGGACATAGGCATGGGCAAGAACTTCCTGACTAAAACACCAAAAGCGACGGCAACAAATGCCAAAATAGACAAATGGGATCCAATTAAACTAAAGAGCTTCTGCACAGCAAAATAAACTATCATCAGAGTGAACAGGCAACCTACACAATGGGAGAAAATTTTTGCAATCTACCCATCTAACAAAGGACTAATATCCAGAATCTACAAAGAACTTAAAGAAATTTACAAGAAAAAAAACAAACAACCCTATCAAAAAGTGGGCAAAAGATATGAAAAGACACTTCTCAAAAGAAGACATGCAGCCAACAGATATATGAAAAAGTGCTCATCATCACTGGTCATTAGAGAAATGCAAATCTAAACCACAATGAGATACCATCTCACTCCAGTTAGAATGATGATCATTAAAAGGTTAGGAAACAACAGATGCTGGAGAGGATTTGGAAAAATAAGAACACTTTTACACTGTTAGTGGGAGTGTAAATTAGTTCAACCATAGTGGAAGACAGTGTGGTGATTCCTCAAGGATCTAGAACTAGAAATACCATTTGACCCAGTGATCGCATTACTGGGTATATATCCAAAGGATTATAAATCATGCTACTATAAAGACACATGCACACACATGTTTATTGCAGCACTATTCACAATAGCAAAGACTTGGAACCAACCCAAATGTCCATCAGTGATAGACTGGATTGAGAAAATGTGGCACATATACACCATGGAATACTATGCAGCCACAAAAAAGGATTAGTTCATGTCTTTTGCAGGGACATGGATGAAGCTGGAAATCATCATTCTCAGCAAACTAACATAAGGACCGAAAACCAGACACCTTATGCTCTCACTCATAGGTGGGAGTTGAACAATGAGAACACATGGACACAGGGCAGGAAACATCACACATCAGGGCCTGTCAGGGGATGGGGGCTGGGGGAGGGATAGGAGAAATACCTTATGTAAAGGACAAGTTGATGGGTGCAGCAAACCAACATGGCACATGTATACCTATGTAACAAACCTGCATGTTGTGCACATGTACCCTAGAACTTAAAGTATAATAGAAAAAAAAAGAAAAATTTTTGCAAGCTACAATTTTAAAAAGTGATATGCAATTTATTTTAAAGAGACAAAGTAAGCACAGTTGATTATTACTTAAGTCCTCTCTGTTGCATACCAATATGTCAGATTGTAAGCATGGCTCCCCAAACTTCTTGAGGAACAAGTAGCGAGTTCTGCTATGAAACCAGAAAGTGGAGACCTTGTACAATGTCAAGCAGATGATTTTATAAATTTTTGATGAAAAGGGTATCAATCTATGCCAATTCTGTAGTTTCTTCACGATAGAAAATATCTTGCTAGCATAATCTCTATTTAAAACCATAAACAAGCTCAAACTCAAATATGACATTATGAGTCACTCATCAATAAAACTTGCCCATCAATACAAAACAATTGGTAAGACTGATTTTTTGAACTGATTTCTATTAATTGCACATACCTAACTGGAAATTAAAGGCTAAGCTCCAGATAATTGCTTTGTTCACAGAACCTTCACTCTAATAAAGACATCCATCTTACTTTTTCCCTAGTATAATAAACCAAATTTATTATTAATCCTAAAGTTTTCTTTATATGCAACAGACATGCACCTGAAGCTTCAGTAGGAAATAACAAAATTTGAATTAATACAAACCCATATATTATATCTGTCAAATAAGAATAATGAGCTAATAGTTAATTAAGAGTTTACTTCTTTATTTTTTTTAAAGATAAAGGGGAGTTGGGGCTGTTAGAGGGGGAACCTTATCTTGAGTGACATCTAGTGGACTGCTGCAAAATGACATTTTTAAAGGTTCCTTTTTTTAAAAAAAATAATTTCAACTTTTAGATTCAGAGGGTACACATTTTTCTAAGTTGAAGCTACTACAGATAGAGTAGCTGTAACACGTTAACACTTTGCATTTGTGCAAGTAAAATAATAATCTACTCAAAAACCTTTATGTAAGCAGTAAAATTATTCTCAAAGGGAAATTACAGACGACCTAGAAAATCTATAAATGGAAAAAAGAATATCTTAACTTAAAAAAATTTCCTATAAATATAACTGCTTATGTTGTAATATATTATTATTGGAAAAAAGTTTTTAATACTTTTGAAAGCCATTAATAGTTGAGATCTCTATTTCAAGTAAATAAAAATATATACTCTATATTTTTACTCTAAAACCTCAATCTTGGAATCTTTAAACTTTTGTTTTATTGCTAAATTAAGAAGCTAATTTATTTTCTCAGAAACACTTATTCTCACTGTATATTTTCATTTGTGATTATTTGAAGTGCAAAGTCATAGTCTTTTGTTAATAGTGGAACATTGGCATATTTTCTCATTGTTCCTTGACTATCCTTTTTCAGTAACATATAAAATAAGAATATTATGTGTGATTTCCATTGCTTTATTTCTGTTTAGCTCTTTGCCTTTGAGGCCACATTGATCTTGTATTGTTGTTAGTGTTTTTTCATCTCCATTCATAGTGTATCTATTGGTAAGACATTTGGTGCTTGACCTTTATTTTGTTTCAGTATCTCTTTGTAAAATTTCCTCTCAATTCTGTTTTTCGTATGCCTTCTACAACCCTGTTCATCTCATCGGAATTTTCCTTTCTGTGTCATTTAGTTCTTGTACCTTCGGATGTATTCTAAATTTCCTTGCATTGTTCTTACCACCTTAATGCTGTCTCTGTCTGTTTAAATATTTGCCACTAATCCAAACACTCTCACAGGAGAGAACAAGTGGTGATCTTTAATTATTTTCTTTAATATATCCTTTTTCGCTATTTAAACACTGTTTACTCATTTGTCATATCCACTTTCCTGGGGTTCCTAAGGTGATAACTGAGTAATTAAAAAAAATTTTGATACTTCACTTTAAGAATATCGATATTCACTTAAAGGAATTTCCTTAACTAGCTTTATCACCATTTTTGAAATTAGCAAACTCAAGTTCTTTTAGGGTTACTGAGGAAATACAGCTTGTTGTCTATGCCCTGAAATGATTAATCTAATAATATCACATGTGAAGAAGATAATAAATAATCAAGTGCTAAATTTTGTAGTATTAACACAAGTGTTATGTTAAAATTTTAGAGAAGGTAGAGAACAAGAAGGAAAGAGTGGTATTAAGGAACTCATGGAAAGAGTAGAACTTACTTGCTATCTCATAGCAGAACCATGAGAAATAAATTTCTGTTGTACATAGCTATCCAATTTACAGCATTTTACTAAAGCAGCTAGAAATCTAAATGGACAAAGTCTTTAAATCATTTGAAAATAAATAGAAATAAAACATGTATAATTTATTTGTTTTTCATAATTATCTATATTTTCTTATAAATAAATGCTTTCTCCCATAAATCCTACTTCCATAGTATTAATTTTATGTCTTTTAGCACATAAGTAAATAATAGATGAATAATAAACTTGTATTTAAGAATATTTTATAGTAAAAATAATAAGAAAGGATTAAGCAAAGTTCATTGTCATTTTCTAGCATTTCTAAACATTTGATGTGATGTTAATATTCCTTGTCTTAGACTACATAAAACAATAGTATAAATTTTAGATGTGTTGATAATTAGGTTCCCATTTTTAAAAGTCTGAATATTGGAATAGTGATTGGAGAGAAGGGAAGAAATCAGTGAGCTTATAGAGAAAAGAGAGGAAATGAGTGAGCTTATAGAATTCAGGGCAAATGTGAGACCAAGGAGAGAAGAAAATAGAGTGTGCCTGAAGAAAGGTGTAGCAAACAACTTAATTAAATCCAGAAGCATATATGGGGAGTAAAAAACCAAAAAAAAAAAAAAAAAAAAAAACAGGCAAACAAATAACATGAAAGTACTTGAAACAGTGAAAATTTTAGCATCAGGAGAAAAAAAATCATCTCATAAGTAGTAAATGTGGTCATTATTTTTTTTACCAAGGAGCCACTAACAGTTTTTAAGAGGTGGAATAACTTGATCAAAGCACTATTAAATGCCATAAAACTGATCATGGTACATATTGGAGAAAATAAACCAATAGATTGGGAGATCATTAAATGAGCATCACACAGGCCCAGGTCTGAAATCCTGGTGAGCCTTGTCTAAGACGCGGAGTGGTCAGTTTAGAGAAGCAAGGACAGAAAACAGACATTTCAAGAAGAAAAAGCTTAATAAAACTCTAACACTAGCTGCAATTCTATCAACATAGGTTTTTATTTGAAATCGCAAAACAAAATTATCGCTGATTAATTAGTCAAGAGTTAATTAAACGGCTTTCGTGCAGCTCACAGGATCATTTGGAAACCTGGAAGTAGACTCAAGCCAAAGCTTCCAGGAGCAATATCCAAAACAATGGTGTCTGAAGAAACCATTACTATTGGTGTTACTCTGTGAGCACTGGAGAAAACAGCTTGCTATGTTGCCTTTCTCCAGCAAAATGAGTACATTACGGTGTTTTATTTCATAATGTGGATTTCCCAATTAAGGTCTCACGTGGACAAGTCTGACTGGCAAAGTCATCATCATATGCTTATAGGTTATGTATGAAATAGATTGGGGAGGTGAGATGAGATTCATAAAGGCTGTCACTGATCAAACATAGCAAGAATACTCAGAACAAGCTGTTCTTGGAATCTTCTTCTAGCGATTGTCGCTTTGAACCAAACTTCTTACTGAGAACAACTAGAAAATATGGAGAAGATTCAACAAAAGTTATTGTTTGAAGGTCAGTTTACAGGATTAGAATCTGAGTAGAAGTTTGACATATGTCAAAAGAAAAATCGGCCAGGCGCGGTGGCTCAGGCCTCTAATCCCAGTACTTTTGGAGGCCAAGGTGTGTGGATCATCAGAGGTCAGGAGTTTGAGACCAGCCTGGCCAATAAGAAAGAAAGAGAGAAAGAGAGAAAGAAAGAAAGAAAGAAAAGGAAAATCAAAATTTCATATCTTCCTGAAAGGAAGAGAAGATTAAATTCTACAGAGCCTTAAATTACCTCTAAAACTTTCAGTCTACAATATCTTCTGTTCATTGAAGTACACAGAAAGATAAGTTAAAAACTAGATAAACTTTCAATACAAATTAAGAGAAAACTTATATAATAGGAGAGGACCCGGAGTAGGGCAAGATATTTAAGTTATCCGAGAGAGTATTTAAAATTAAATGTTCAAATAATTAAATAGGAAGATAGAGAATTGGGGGAGAAATGGAAACACTAGAAATATCAAACAAAATCTAGAAATAAAAAATACAGTAGCTGAAATTAAAACAGGATAAATGGCTTCAATAGCAGATTAGATATAGTATAAAATATGTAAAAACAAAATAGCACAAGCATAATGAAACAAAGAAATATAGAACCAATAAAAGAGTCTATGCAGGCCGGGCATGGTGGCTCACGCCTGTAATCCCAGAACTTTGGGAGGCCGAGGCGGGTGGATCACGAGGTTAGGAGATCGAGACCATCCTGGCTAACATGGTGAAACCCCGTCTCTACTAAAAAATACAAAAAATTAGCCAGGTGTGGTGACAGGCGCCTGTAGTCCCAGCTACTCAGGAGGCTGAGGCAGGAGAATGGCATGAACCCGGGAGGCGGAGGTTGCAGTGAGCTGAGATCGCGCCACTGCACTCCAACCTGGACGACAGAGCAAGACTCCGTCTCAAAAAAAGAAAAAACAAACAAAAAAAAGAGTATATGCAGCATATGGGTGAAAATATTTAACACATATGCAAATGGAGTCCTAGAAGGGAGGACTGGGAGAGAAGCAGGCAATATTTAAAGAAAAGACTGAGAATTATTATTTTTTTAATTAAATTGCTTTTTAAAATGTATGTGGGTACATAGATGTATATATTTACGGTGTATATGAGATGTTTTGGTACAGACAAGCAATGTGAAATAAACATATATGGAGAGTGCGGTATCCATCCCCCCCCCAGCATATGCCCTTTGAGTTACAAACAATCCAATTACACTCTTTATTTTAGAATGTACAATTAAGCTATTATTGATTATATTCACCCTATTGTGCTATCGAATAGCAGGTCTCATTCATTCTTTCTAACTTTTTTTTTTTTTGGTACCCTTTAACCATCCCCACTTCCCCTCCAACCCCCTACTACTTTCCCCAGCCTCTGGTAACTGTTCTTTTACACTCTATTAATATGTACATGAGTTGAATTGTTGTGATTTTTATATCCCACAAGTGAGTGAGAGCATGGGTTTGTCTTTCTGTGCCTGGTTTACTTCACTTAACATCTCCAGTTCCATCCCTGTTGTTGCAAATGGCTGGATCTCATTCTTTTTTATGACTAAACAGTACTCCATTGTGTGTACATGTACTACATTTTCTTGATTCATTCAACTGTTGATGGACACGTGCGCTGCTTTCAAACCCTGGCCATTGTAAACAGTGCTGCAGCAAACAGCAGTGCAGTTATCTCTTTGATATACTGATTTCCTTTCTTTGGGATATATACCCAGGAGTGGGATTGCTGAATCATATGGGAGCTTAATTTTTAGTGTTTTGAGGAACCTCCAAACTGTCCTCCCTAGTGGTTGTACTAGTTATATTTCCACCAACAATGTACAGGATTCCATTTTCTCCACATCCTCGCCTGCATTTGTTATTGCCTGTCTTTTGGATATAAGCCATTTTAACAAGGGTGAGGTAATATCTCATTGTGTTTGATTTGCATTTCTCAGATGATCCAGTAATGTTGAGCACCTTTTCATATGCCTCTTTGCCATTTTTATGTCTTATTTTGAGAAATGTCGATTCAAATCTTTTGCCCATTTTTTAATTGGATAATTAGATTTTTTCCTATAGAGTTGTTTAAGCTCCTTATACATTCGGTTATTAATCCCTTGTCAGATGGGTAGTTTGCAAATACCTTCTCCCATTCTGTGCATTGTCTCTTTACTTTGTTGATTGTATCCTTTGCTATACAGTCATTTTTTTATGTGATCCCATTTGCCTATTCTTGTTTTGGTTGCCTGTGCTTGGGCAATTGCTCAAGAAGTCCTTGTCCAGACCAATGTGCTAGAGAGTTTCTTCAATGCTTTCTTGTAGAAGTTTCATAGTTTGAGGTCTTAGATTTAAGTCTTTAATCCATTTTGATTTGATTTTTTGTAGATAGTGAGAGACTGGGGTCTAGTGTCATTCTTTCGTATATGGCTATCAGTTTTTTCAGCACCATTTATTGAAGAGCCTGTCCTTTCACTAGCTTATGTTCTTGGCACCTTTGGCAGAAATGAGTTCACTGTAAGTGTGTGCATTTGTTTCTAGGTTCTCTGTACTGTTCCAGAATGTGATTCTGAGAGGAGGTGCTAGCCTGGCTTCCTGGGTTGAGTAGGGGCTTAGAAAGCTGTGAAACTTACTTATTTCTTGCATCAGGACTTCTTTCGGTCCTGGATAAATATTATTAAAGATATATGCTTAAAATATTCCTAACACTAGGATTTGTGCATGTGTTTTCTTTCTCAGGAAAGCTATAAACAGCGAAAATTTTGCTGTAAGTTTCCCTGTGTCCTCTCTCCCTCTCTCCCTTCCCCCTCCCCTGAAACTAAAAAGAATGTTAAATGCCCGTTTTTCCAGCGGACCTTATCTATGCTCCCGATTCCAATTCGTTTTAAACATACTTTGTAAAGTCCCGTGAGATCCTGTCTCCTTTGCCATGCCGCTGCAAGGTCATAAAGTAGATAAAACCTAAGTTGCAATTCCAGTTTTCCTCAAAATCTAAGACATGTCACAAAATAATTTACAGCCTTTGTTTCTCGCTCTAGTAACATCTTCCTGCCGCATGTATTTTCCGCCTTAAAGAGTTTAAAAGGCAATCACCCAAAACCAACAATGGCTACCCACTAAAGACCCCGTCCACGCTGTAGAAGCTTTGTGCTGTCACTCTGTTCAATAAAGCCTGCAGCTTTTTTTTCTCTTAGTCTGTGTCTCCATCACTCGCCCCAAGCAGCCGCCACACCAATTCTTTGGCATGGCTAAGGCAAGAACCTTTAGTGCTACGTTTTGGCAAGCCAGCCAGGAGATCCAGGAAAGGTATCTAGGTTGTCACACGGTGAGTATGATCGGACCTCTTTGGCTTGCTATTCTGTCCTGTCCTTCCTTAGAATTCAGAGGCTAAATACCAGGCACCTGTATTAGGGCCACTTAAAGGCGATTAACGAGGCTGCCGGACTAAAGACACAGGTGTCAGGCTGTCTGGAAAAGGGCTCTCTAACAACCCCCTACCCTTCAGGGTTAGGAGCATTAGTTAGCCTGGACTCAGTTCTAACTCTTTCACTTTCCATGGTGGTCCTGAAGTACACCCCGCAGTGCTCACCGGATGTCTTAGTCTCCCAGAGATCCTGGTTGAGACCATGGCCCCACCAGAGGCTCCCCCTGCAGGGGTTGCTGAGCGTAAGACTGCCACATCTTCTGACCTCTGCCTCCTAGGTCCTAATGTCCGCCAGCTAGAGTTCTTTTCTCATCTGATAAGATTCTTCCCTTTAGGCGGGATCAATATTCCCTGTTTAGAAGTCTTAAATTCTTGAGGTGACACCCAGAAGATCCCTGTTTACAATGCCCTCCAAGGTTTAGGCAAGTGTTGCCATTTGATGGCTATTTTGAAGGGCCAGTTACCCACCATAGTTTATGGTCCCCTACATCAGGACAATTCAAAGACAGGTCTGTAATTTTCTAGTGGATAGTAGAATCCTTAAGGCATTTCCTCCGTTGCTCCCCAGATAGACTTTCCCCTTCCTTGGGGCCTCTCAAGTACAATCTGTGGTGCATAAGTACAGCTCTTAGAGCCATTAAATTGTTGTTTCAATCATTCAGTAATTAGTATTGGAAGGAAGAGAATATAGTCAGTTAGGACACGGGATACTAGTACTGCCTTGAGAGAGGGGCTTACTCCTTTAATGGCAAGTGAGGACAAAAGGCTAGAGTACAGCAGCTGTTCTCTCAGCCCTGGCCTAGAGGACACCCACCACCCCCTTTAAGTTTACTATGTCTCCTGTCGCTAATTCAGAGATTTCTCCGTGAAGGACAGTTTTATGGCCAGGCCCACGTAAATTAAGCCTTAGTATGCAAGCATCAGTGGTGCCCCCAACCCAGGCCTTGCCACCCTGGAACAGGTAGGATGCATTAGTAATAGGACTACAATAAATCCAACAGTCCTTGTGCCCCGTTTAGTGGTCAATAGGCACATGGCAGGGGCAAGGGAAGTTTTCATCCCACTGGTAAGCATGGTTAAATCCGGTAGATGGAGAGCTCAGGAAAAGCGGCCATGAGCTTTGAGCACAATTAGACCTGACCCTACGCCCTAGAGGAAAACAAGTCCCAGGACCAACCAGGGGTGTGGGCATCCCTGTGTTTAAAATTCCAGATAGGCACCACACCTTCAAAACCAGACACTCCTTTAAGATGTATCCTGAATAACTGGGACAAATTTGACCCTGAAACCTTCAAAAAAAAAGTGGCTGATTTTCTTCCGTATCACTGCCTGGCCACAGTATTCCTTACAAAATAGAGAAACTTGCCCTCTAAAGGAAGTATTAATTATAACACCCTTCTACAACTAGATCTTTTCTGTAAACAGAAAGGTAAATAGAGTAAAGTCCCTTATGTACAAGCTTTCTTTACCCTTCGTAACAATACTGCCCTGTGCCAAGCCTGCAAGTTTTGCCCAAATGGCAGAGGCCCACAGTTGCCTCCATACTCACGGCCTCTTCCCTCAGCCCCACTCTCCTCCCCCACTGACTCTTCTCCATGCGGCCCCACCAAAGTGTTAAAGGCACACCGGAAAGAAAACACAAACTCCACAAGCCAGGCACCCAAAGTATGTTCCTTATGAACAGTAGGAGGAGAATTTAAGCCCATTCAAGTGCATGCCCCCTTCTCACTCTCAGATTTAAAACAAATAAAGGCAGATTTAAAGAAATTCTCAGATGATCCTGATAACTATATAGCTGTCCTGCAAGGATTAAGGCAGTCCTTTAATCTAACATAGAGCGATATCATGTTACTTCGTGATCAGACCTTAAGTCCTACTAAAAAAAAAAAAAAAAACGCAGCTTTAGCAGCAGCCCAACAATTTAAAGATCTGTAGCACCTTAGCCAGGTAAACAATCTAATGGCCCTAGAAGAAACGGAAAAACTCCCCACAGGGCAACAGGCAGTCCCCACTATAGACGCTCATTAGGATACTGACTCAGATCATAGAGATTAGAGCCTCAGGCATTTGCTAACTTGCATTTTAGAAAGGTTGAGAAAGACTAAGAAAAACCCTATGAACTACTCAAAGCTATCCACAATTATGCAAGGAAAAAAGAAAACCCCTCCACTTTTCTAGGATGGCTAAAGGAGGCCCTAAGAAAGTACACCTCCCTAACTCCAGATTCTGTAAAAGGCCAGCTTATTTTAAAGAATAAATTTATCACCCAATCAGCAGCTGACATTAGGAGAAAAGTCTGCTTTAAGCCCAGAACAAAATTTGGAGACATTATTAAACCTGGCAACCTCGGTGTTCTATAAGGACCAAGAAGAATAGGCCAAAAAGGAAAAGCGAGATAAGAGAAAGGCTGCAGCCTTAGTCATGGCCCTCAGACAGGCAGACCTTGGTGGCTCAGAGGGAACCAAGAGAGGGGCAGGCCAATTGGCTAGTAAGACTTATTATCAGTGCAGTTTGCAAGGAGACTTTAAGAAAGGTTGTCCAACCAGAAACAAACTGCCCGCTCGCCCACGTCCAGTGTGCCAAGGTAATCACTAGAAGGTGCACCGCCCCAAAAGACAAAGGCCCTCTAAGCCAGAAGCACCCAATCAGATGATTCAGCAACAGGATTAAAGGTGCCCAAGGCAAGCTCCAGTTCATGCCATCATCCCCACAGAGACCCAGGTAAGTTTGACCATTAAAGGCCAGGAAGCGGACTTCCTCCTGAACACTAGCAAGGCCTTCTCAGTTTTAATCTCCTGCCCCAAACGACTGTCCTCAAAGTCCGTTACTATCCGAGGACTCTTAAGACAGCCTGTAACTAGGTGTTTCTCTTGCCTCCTCAGCTGCAATTAAGAGACTTTGCTCCTTTCATGTGCCTTTCTTGTTATTCCCGAAAGTCCCACATCCTTATTAAGAAAGAACATATTAGCCAAAGCTGAGGCTATTAGCTACATAAATATAAAGAATAAATTACCCATCTATTGTCCCCTACTTAAAAAAAGAATCAACCCTGAAGTCTAGGCCTTAAAAGGACAATTTAGAAAGGCAAAGAATGCCCATCCAGTTCAAATCAGGCTAAAAGACCTCAGCACTTTTCCTTATCAAAGGCAATATCCCTTAAGGCCTGAAGCTCACGAAGGATTACAAGATATTGTTAGACATTTAAAAGCTCAAGGCTTAGTAAAAAAATCTAGCGGTTCTTGCAACACCCCAATCCTAAGAATCCAAAAACCAAATAGTAGAGACTAGTGCAAGACCTCAGAATCATCAATAAGGCAGTAATTCCTTTAAATCCTGCTGTACCCAACCTCTATATACTACTCTCTCAGATATCAAAAAAAGCAAAGTAGTTCACTGTTTTAGACCTCAAAGATGCCTTCTTCTGCACTCCCCTGCACTCTAACTCCCAGTCCACATTGCTATTTCATTAACCAATCAGAAATCATTACTAAAAAGGTCAAAGAAATAAGAAAACGGATAGAAAGTAAAAAAAAAAGGAGCTTAAACACTCAAGACCCTAGAATATGTTGAACCAATAGATACCTTAGCTCCTCCCTTTCTAGGCCCTGTAATAGCCATCCTACTATTACTTGCCTTTAGGCCTTGCATTTTTAACCTCCTTGTCAAATTTGTTTCCTCCAAGATCGAGGCCATCAAGCTACAAATAGTCTTACAAATGGAACCTCAAATGAGCTCAACTCACGGCTTCTACTGAGGACCCCTGGATTGACCCGATGGTCCTTCACTAGCCTAGAAAGTTGCCCTCTGAAAGACATCACAACTGCAAGTCCCCTTCTTCGCCCCTAACCAGCAGGAAGTAGCCAGAACGACCGCCACCCAGTTCCCAACAGCGGTTAACGTGTTCTGTTTAGAGGGGGCACTGAGAGGAGGTGCTAGCCAGGCTTCCTGGGGCTCAGAAAGCAGTGAAACTCACTCATTTCCTGCATCAGGATTTCCTTTGGTTCTGGATAAATAATATTAAAGATATATGCTTAAAATTTTCCTAACACCAGGATTTGTGCGTGTGTTTTCTTCCCCAAGAAAGCTATAAACAGCGAATATTTTGCTCTAAGCATCCCTGTGTCCTCTCTCCCTTTCTCCCTTCCCTCTCCCCTGAAACTAAAAAGAATGTTAAATGCCCATTTCTCTGTGACCAGCAGAACTTATCTATGCTCCTGATTCCAATTCCTTGTAAACATACTTCGTAAAGTTCTGTAAGATCCTGTCTCCTTTGCCATGCTGCTGCAAAGTCATAAAGTAAATAAAACCTAATTTGCCATTCCAGTTTTCCTCAAAATCTAAGACATATCACAAAATAATTTACTGCCTTTGTTTCTCGCTCTAGTAACATCTTCCCGCTGCACGTAGTTCCACCTTAAAGAGTTTAAAAGGCAATCACCCAAAACCAACAGTGTCCACCTGCTCAGGATCCCTTCCACGCTGTAGAATTTTTGTACTGTCACTCTGCTCAATAAAGCCTACAGCTTTTTTTCTGTTAGTCTGTGTCTCCATCACTCACCCCAAGCAGCCGCCACACCAATTCTTTGGCGTGGCTAATGCAAGAACCTTTACCATTACAATTCTTCAAGTTTTGTTCTTTTTGCTTAGGATATCTTTGATTATTCCGGGTCTTTTGAGGTTCCATATACATTTTAGGATTATTTTTCTATTTTTCTAAAGAATGCCATTGATATTTTGATAGACATTGCATCGAATCCCAAAGATTGCTTTGGGTATTATGAACATTTTAACAATGTTAATTCTTCCAATCCATGAATATAAAATACTTTTCAATTTTTGGCTCCCTCTTCAGTTTCCCTTATTAGTTTTCTATACTTTCCATTATAGAGATCTTTCACTTCTTTGGTCAATTCCTAGCTATTTAGTTTTATGTATGGCCATTGTAAATGGGATTACTTTTTTATTTCTTTTTCGCGTTGTTTATTGTTAACATATAGAAATGGTACTGATTTTTGTATGTTGATTTTGCATCCATAAACTTTACTGAATTTGTCTATCAATTCTTATAGTTTTTCTTGTGGAGTCTTAGGTTTTTCTAAATATAAGATCATATCATCTGCAAGCAAGGATAATTTGACTTTTTTCTTTCCAATTTGGATGCCCTTTATTTCATTCTCTTTTCTGATTGTTCCAGCTAGAACTTCCAGTAGTATGTTGAGTAACATTGATGGCAGTGGGCATCCTTGTCATGTTCCAGATCTTAGAGAAAAGGCTTTTTAAGTTTGTAATCATTCATTATGGTACTACTGGTGGGTCTGTTGTATATGGCTTTCATTATGTTGAGGTATGTTCCTTCTATCCCCAGTTTCTTGAGGGTTTTTTCATGAAGTTATGTTGAAGTTTATCAAATACTTTTTCATCATCAATTAAAATGATCACATGGTTTTTTTCCTTTATTCTGTTGATATGGTGTATAATTGATTTTGAGCTTTGCTTTTGCTTTTCTAGATATTTTAGATGCATCATATGGTTTTTATCCCTCATTCTGTTGATATGATGTATCATGTTGATTGATTTGTGCATGTTTAATCACCCTTGCATCCCAGAGATAAATCCCACTTGCTCATGGTGGATCATCTTTCTAATACATTGTTTAATTTTGTTTGCTAGTACTTTGTTGAGGATTTCTGCATCAATATTCATCAGTGTTACTGCCCTGTAGATTTCTTTCATTCATGTGTCTTTGTCTGGTTTTAGTATCAGGGTAATATGGGCCTCATAAAATGAGTTTGGAAGTATTCCCTCCTCCTCTATTTTTTGGAATAGTTTGAATTGTATTAGTATTAGATATTTTTTAAATGTTTGGTAGAATATAGCAATGAAGCCATCAGGTCCCGGGCTTTTCTTTAGTGGAAGACTTTTTATCATAGCTTTGAGCACATTACTTGTTACTGGTCTGTTCAGGTGTTGGATTATTTTTTTCCTGATTCAACCTTGGTAGGTTGTATATATCTAGGAATTTGTCCATTTCTTCTAGATTTTCCAATTTTTTGGCATATAGTTGCTCACAGTAGCCCCTAATAATCCTTGAATTTCTGCAGTAACATTTGCAATGTCTCCTTTTTCCTGATTTTGTTTATTTGGATCTTCTCACTTTTTTTCTTAGTCTGGCTAAAAGTTTGCCACTTTTGTTTAACTTTTCAAAAACCAACTTTTTGTTTCATTAATCTTTTGTATTTTCTTTTCATGTCAATTTCATTTCTTTCACCTCTGATCTTTATTATTTCTTTTCTTCTACCAATTTTGAGCTTGGTTTGTTCTTGCTTTTCTATATTTTTTAGATGCATCCTTACATTGTTTATTTGAAAATTTTCCTCTTTTTTGAGGTAAGCACTTATACTTATAAATTTTCCTCTTATTACTGCTTTTGCTGTATCCCATACATTTTGATATGTTATGTTTCCATTATTATTTGCTTCAAGAAATTTTTCAATTTACTTATTAATATTTTCATTGACCCACTGGACATTCAGGAGCATATTGTTTAATTTTCATGTATTTATATATTATCCTAAATTCCTCTTTTAAGAATTTCTAGTTTTGTTCCATTTTTGTCAGAGAAGATGCTTGATATTATTTCAATTTATTTGAAAGTCTTAAGACTTACTTTGTGACCTAACATATAGTGTCTCCTTGAGAATAATCCACATGCTGAGAAAAATAATGTGTATTTTGCAGCTCTTGGATAAATGTTCTGTAAATATCTATTAGATCTGTTTGGTCTATACTGCAGATGAAGTCCAACATTTCTTTGTTGATTCTTTCTGGAAGTTCTGTCCAATGGTGAAAGTGGGGTGTTGAAGTCTCCAGCTATTATTGTATTGGGACCTTTCTCTCTTTAGCTCCAATAATGTTTCCTATATATCTGCGTGCTCCTGTCTTGGGTGCATATATATTTAAAATTGTTATATCTTTTTGCTGAATTGACCCTTTACCACTATGTAGTGACCTTCTTCATCTCTTCTTATTGTTTTTGTCTTGTACTCTCTTTTGTCTAAGTATAGTGACTCCTGCTCTTTTTTGGTTTTCATTGGCATGGAATACCTTTCTCAATCCCTGCATTTTCAGTCTATATGTGTCTTTATAGTTGAAGTGTATTTCTTGTGGGCAAAAGATCAATGAGTCTTGTTATTTTATCCATTCAGCTAGTCTATGTCTCTTGGTTAGAGACTCTAGTCCACTTACAATCAGTTATTAATGATAAGTAAAAGAACTTACTCTTGCTGTTTTATTATTTGTTTTCTGGTTGTTTTGTGGTCTTCTCTTCCTTCCTTTTCTTTCTGATCAAAGTACTCCCTTTAGCATTTCTTGTAGGACTGGTCTGGTATTGATGAAATCCCTCAGCTTTTGTTTGTCTGGGAGAGTCTTTATTTCTCCTTCATGTTTGAAAGATATGTTCACTGGATATACTATTCCAGGGTAAAACTTTATTTCTTCAGCACTTTAAATGTGTCATGCCACTCTCTCCTGGCCTGTAAGGTTTCCACTGAAAAGTCTGCTGCCAGACATATTGCAGCTCCATTATGTAATTTGTTTCTTTTCTCTTGCTGCTTTTAGGGTCCTTTCTTTATCCTTGATCTTTGGGATTTTGAGGTAGTCTTCTTTGTGTTAAATCTGCTTGTTGTTCTATAACCTTCTTGTACTTGGATATTGATATCCTTCTCTAGGTTTGGGAAGTTCTTTTTTATCTTTTTGAATAAACTTTCTAAATCTATCTCTTTCTCTACCTACTCTTTAAGGCCAATAACTCTTAGATTTGCCCATTTGGAGCTATTTTCTAAATCCCGTAGGCATACTTAATTGCTTTTTATTCTTTTTCTTTTGTCTCCTCTGACTGTGTGTTTTCTAATAGCCTGTCTTCAAGCTCAAGCTCACTCATTCTTTCTTTTGCTTGATCCATTCTGCAATTAAAGAACTCTGATGCATTCTACAGTATGCCAATTGCATTTCAGCTCCAGAATTTCTGGTTTACTTTTTAAAATTTATTTCCATCTATTTGTTAAATTTATCTTATAGAATTCTGAATTCCTCCTTTGTGTTATCTTGAATTTGCTTGAGTTTCCTCAATGCAGCTATTTTGAATTATCTGCCAAAAAGGTCACATATCTCTGTTTCTCCAGATTGGTCCCTGATGTCTTATTTAGTTCATTTTTTGAGGTTATTTTTTCATCAATGGTGTTGATATTAGTACATGTTCTTCAGTGTCTGACCATTGAAGAGTTAGGTGTTTATTGTAGTCGTCTCTGTATGGCCTTATTTGTAGCCATCCTTCTTTTGAAGGCTTTCCAGATATTTGAAATGACTTGGGTGTTGTGATCTAAGCTATTTCTGCTTTAGAGGGCAGCCAAAGTCCAGTAATGCCGTGGTTCTTGCAAACTCATAGAGGCACCTCCTTGAAGGTCATGGACAAGACCCAGGAGAATTCTCTGGATTACCAGGAAGATACTCTTGTTCTCTTTCCTTACTTGCTCCCAAACATACAGTCTCTGTCTCTGTTCTAAGTCACCTAAAGCTGGGGATGGAGGGGCATGAGAACCCCTGTGGTCATCATCACTATTACTGCACTGGGTCAGATCCAAAGTCAGTACAGCCCTGGGTCTCACCCAAGGCCTACTGTAACCACTCCCTGGCTACTTCCCATGTTTGCTGAAGGCCCTGGGGCTCTACTATCAGCCCCAGGTGGCAAAGCCAACCGAGCCGATGTTCTTCCCTTCAAGGCAGCGAGGTCCCCCAGGCCTCAGGTTGGTCCAGAAGTGTTGTTCAGGAGTCAGGGACTATAGTCAAAAACCTACCTGGTGTTCTATTGTATTGCAGCTGAGCTGACACTCAAACCAGAAGATGCAGTTCTTCCTACTCTTCCCTCCCTTTCCAAAGGCAAAGAAGCCTTACCCCATATCCACTGCCATCCCTGGCCATGAGGTGTATTGCCAAACTGCATCCATGTTCCCTTAAGGCCCAAGGCCTCTCTTATGTCAGCTTGTAGGGAATGATGACTGGCCTGGGACTCACCCTTCAGGGTACTGGGCTTCCCTCTGGTCCATAGCAGGTCCAGAAATGCCATCCAAGTATCAAGTCTTGAAACTGAGAACCCCAAGAGCCTGCTTGGTGTGATACCCTCTTGTGGCAGTGTTGTTGGCCCCCAAAGCGCAACACAAAGTCCCTTTTACTTTTCCCTCTGCTCTTCTCAAGCAGAAGGAATTTTGCCCCATAGCCACCATGGATGGTAATGTTCTGACTCTTTTCTGAAGCCAGAAAGTCTCAGAAGCTCACCAAAGCCCTTAATGCAGTACCTGGGTATCGCTGATATTATTCAGGGCCCAAGGGCTATTCAGGTTAGCAGGTGATAAATGCTAGCAGGACTGGGTCCATTCCTTCAAGGCAATGGGTTTCCTTCTGGCCCAGACTGTGTCTAAAAATGTTGTCTGGGAGCTAGAGAGACTGAGAATTTTCTGAAATTGTCTAATAAATAGTTTTTAAAAGCTGATTTGATACTTAAAGTAGTATAAAAGAAAGCAACTACCAATACAGGACTCTACGTCCTTTAACATAGCTTTTTTTTTTTTTTTTTTTTGACAGAGTCTCACTCCATCACCCAGGCTGGAGTGCAGTGGCTCTCTCGGCTCACTGCAACCTCTGCTGCCCAGGTTCAAGCAAGTCCCCTGCCTCAGCTTCCCAAGTAGCTGGGATTACAGGCACCTGCCACCATGCCCAGCTAATTTGTGTGTGTGTGTGTGTGTGTGTGTGTGTGTGTGTTTAGTAGAGACGGGGTTTCACCGTCTTGGACAGGTTGATCTTGAACTCCTGACCTCGTGATCCACCTGCCTCGGCCTCCCAAAGTGCTGGGATTGTCAGCATAAGCCACTGCACCCAGCTTAAAATAACTTCAATAAATTAAGATAGTAAATATATTTAAAGAAAATAAATTCAAAATATGAGAGAAATTTTCACCAGCTGACAGGCACTAAGGAATACTAAATGAAGTCTCTAGGCAGAAGGAAAATTATTCCATACAAAAAACAAAATTTGTAGAAACAAATGAAAAGTAACTGAAAATGTAAATAGAAGAGTAAATACAAATTGATATTAACTGAATGTGAAGCCCTAAAGGATAATATTAATATCTCGTGTTGTTTAAAATCTATAGAATAAGAAGCCTCCAAACTATTTTCAAGAGTGGCACTTTAAAGAGTACCACTTTGTTTCCTCCATTAGTGTATAAGCGATACTGTTTCTCTGCATCCTTGTCAACATTTGATGTCATCCCTGTTTTCTACTTTTGTCATTCTGATAGGTATCCAGTAGTATCTCATTGTGGTTTACATTTTATTTACCTAATGGTAAATGCTATTAAATATCTTTTCACGTGTGTTTTTGTTGCCACTTTTATAACTTTTCCACTAAAATATCTGTTTCTGTAATTTGTTTTCTAATTGGCTTGATTATTGTTGAATTTTGATAATGCTTTAATAAATTACAAATACAAGTCCTTTGCCAATTATGTGTTTTTTACATATTTTTGCCTAGTCTGTACCTTGTTGTTCTTGGCAAGGCTTTTGCAGAAGAAAAATTTTTAGTTTAGATAGGGTCCAAATTTTCCTTTTCTTTTTCTTTTTCTTTTTTTTTTTTGAGATGGAGTCTTGCTCTGTCACCCAGGCTGGAGTGCAGTGGTGCGATCTTGGCTCACTGAAAGCTCTGCCTCCTAGGTTCACGCCATTCTCCTGCCTCAGCCTCCTGAGTAGCTGGGACTACGGGCGCCCGCCACCATGCCTGGCTAATGTTTCTGTATTTTTAGTATAGACGGGGTTTCACTGTGTTAGCCAGGATGGTCTCAATCTCCTGACCTCGTGATCCGCCTGCCTTGGACTCCCAAAGTGCTGGGATTACAAGCGTGAGCCACCACTTCCAGCCTAATTTTAAGAATCATTCTTTTGGTGTTACGTTCAAGATTTCTTCACTAAATCTTAGTTCCCAAAGATTTTCTCTATAGTTTTCCTAAAAAAGATATGTACTTTAACATTTTTAAATTTAAGTCTATGATGAATTTTCAGTTAATTTTTGTATAGAGTGTGAGGTTGAGGTTAGGGTTCTTTTACAGCTTACCATATGACATAGCAGTTGCATTTTTGCAACTTTTGGCATTATTTCAGTCAGCTTAGGCTGCCATAACAAAATATCAGAGACTTGGTGGCTTAAACAAAAGGATTTATATCTTATTGTTCTGAGGTCTGTGAAATCCACGATCA
This sequence comes from Homo sapiens, assembly GCF_000001405.40. Taxonomy (NCBI): domain Eukaryota; kingdom Metazoa; phylum Chordata; class Mammalia; order Primates; family Hominidae; genus Homo; species Homo sapiens. The sequence continues at coordinate 86,684,866 of NC_000003.12, read as the reverse complement.
AGATGCCAGCTGCTTCAGATCCCTGGTGGGGCTCTCTTCCTGGCTTACTGATGACCAGCTTCTTGCTGTATCTTCACATGGCAGAAACAGAGAAAGCAAGTGCTTTGTTGTCTGTTCGTATAAGGGAACTGATTCTATCATGAGGTATCCACTCTCATGACGTGATCTAAACATGATTACTTCTCAAATGCTCCACGTCATAATAAGAACTTTGAGAGGACACAAACATTCAGTTCATAATAAGTATTTTTTCCAGGAAAATGAAAACTTATGTTTACTTTAAAACCCATGTTTTAAAGTAGTTTAAATGTTCATTGTAGTTTTATTATAAAAGCACCACACTGGAAACAATTCAAATGTCCTTCAGTGGGTGAATGATTAATCAACTCTGCTACATCCATACTACAGAATACTAGTAATAGAAAGGAGAGGACTATTAATATATAAAATGACCTGATAAATCTCAAAGGCATTGCACCAAGTGACAGAAGTCCATTTTAAAAAGTTACGTACGGTGTAATTCCATTTATATAACATTCTTGAACTGACAAAATTATAGAGATGCTAAGAAAATTACTGGTTTCCAGGAACTAAGGACCAAGGGATAGAGGCAAAGATTGATATGGCTATCAAAAAGAATCCTTGTGAAGATTGTACAGTTCTCTATCTTAACTCAGGCGGTTATATAGATTTTACATGTAACAAATTTGTGTAGAACTAAATGTGTATATGCATGCAAGTAAATTTGAGAAAATACTAATAAAGTTGGTGTACTATACCAATGTCAATTTTCTAATAGTAATATTTTACTATTGTTATGTTAGATGTTAGCACTGGTATAAACTGAGTAACGGGTACAGGAAACCTCCCTCTATTATTTCCCAAAGTTTTGTGTAAATCAATAATTATTTCAAGATAAAATAATACACAAACAGAATGAAAATACAGAAAAATATAGAATTAAAATATAGAAAGACAGTAATTTAAAAAGAGAAAAGTAAACCAAGTGGAAAGATAGAAATGAAAATAAAGTTTACAATAGTGACTGATAAAAAAATAACAACAATCAGAGCATAGCAGAAAGAATCAAAATCAGTAAAAACTGCTTCTCTGATACACAATGGATTTATAAAATTTTGTTAAGACTGATTAAGAATTTAAAAAATACAAAATCAATATTAGGAATTAAAAACAGGAACATTACTATATATAGTCTAAATGTTAATAATATAATAAAGAGACATAATGAGCAACTTGATGCTACACAGTAGTGAAAAAGCATTCTTAGAAAAACTCAACTTACTCAAATGATACAGAAGATAATTTAAAAATTATCTTGGATCTATGAAAAAATTGAAATGTCTAACTAAAAGCGTTTTCACAGGTAAAATGTTATGATCAACTGGCTTCACTGATAAATTTGACTAATTATAACATAAAACATAGAAGGAGGGACAAGATGGCTATGACTAGACACAGACAGGAAGTACTGCTCCAACAAAGAGAGAGCAAAAATTTGAATAAACCAACATAATTTGAATAGATCTTCAGAGAGAAATTGGCAAGAGAGGGATGGAGACACAGCACAGACACTGAGGCTGAAGAAGGAGGAAGCTAGCAACCCTCCATGGGGTACCCAAACACTAGGACTGGTTCCAAGATCCAAATGGTTCATAAGGAAGGGGTGAATGAATGAATCGTGGGGCTTTCCACTGTTGCCAAGGATCTCTGGGAATCTAGCTAGAGGTGAGTGCACAACCCCAGTGGACATTTGATCTGGCAGGAGGATCTTCTAGGAGAGCAGACAGAGACAGGGCTTCAACTGGTGTGGAGCCAGGGGCCTTTGTATCCAAAAGCACTCATTTCCTCATTTCCCTCTAAGAAGCTCTAGCCCCAACTAATCACTAAGCCAGGAGGAAGTGGGCCTAATTCCTCCATGAGACTGAAGCACATTTGTTCTGCAGACCCTCCTGCTCAGCAGTCCCTCCCAGGGTCCCTGTATGTCTCCCCTCAGGAGTATGTAGACAGGGCAGCCTCTGCTGCCCAGCTTGGGTGAACTCTTTTACCTGAATACATTTTTGGTGGCCTGGGAAAATTTCAGATCCCACAGTTTACCTGGAACCTAACCCTGAGAGTCTAGATGGTGGAACTGCAAGCCAGTCTTGGTGCTCCAGGGCTGCAGTGAACAGGTCAGGAGTGCTAAGCCAAGATCTGCAGCCAGCACCCAAGCAAAGGATCAGCCCACATTCTCAGAGCTCTGAGAGGAGTGAGATGCATAGGCTTGTTGGCTGGCATAGGAATGGGGCATGCCTCCCTCCACAGGGATGGTCTAGAAAGGATATGCCCTATCTCCCTGCTGCAGCCTCTGCCTGAGGGAACCCTGTGGCCTTGAACACCTACCAAAAGAATTGCAGGAACATTGCTAGTGATTGGAGGGACCTCACCCAAGGCCCAGGAGTAGACCTGTGAGGGGGTCACCTCTCTCTCTTGTGAACTTCACAGCACAACTGCAAACATGAGGAAATACAAAGAAGTCATGTAGGCGGGTAAGAGCATATCAACCACCCATTACTCCTAAGTGCCATCTACTGGATTGCAGCCTAAGGTCCAACACTAAAAATATTTTGCTTATATCACCCCCTGCGAAAACAAGGGCAATAATTCAATCACAAATAAAAACCTTGTACAGAGCCTTGGCCAGTTGAAAACATCCAGAAGGACTTTAACTGACTTTACCCAACTTACAGCCCAGTTAAAGAAATAACATCCTTCCCAGGTGAGACAGAATCACCTCAAGAACTCTGGAAATTAAAAAACCCAGAGTGTCCTCTTACTTTCAAACAAGTTCACTATGTCCCCAGCAATGATTCTTAACCAGTCTGAAATAATGAAAACGACAGGCATTGAATTCTGTCTGGAATCTGGATGGAAAAGAAGTATATCAATATTCAGGAGAAAGTTGAAACCCAATCCAAGAAATCCAGTAAAATAATCCAAGAGCTGAATGTTGAAACTGCCATTTTAAGAAGAACCAAACTAAGAGTGAAATGGCTCATGCTTGTAATCCCACCACTTTAAGAGGCTGAGGCAAAAGGATCTCCTGAGCCCAAGAGTTTGAGACCATCCTGGGAAATATTGTGAGACTCCCTCTCTGCAGAAAATTTTGTAAAAACTAGATGGGTGTGGTGGCATGTGCCTGTGGTCCCACCTACCCAGGAGACTAAGGTGGATGAATCACTTGAGCCCAGGAAGTTGAGGCTGTAGTGAGCTATTGTCATGCCACAGCACACCAGCCTGGGCAACAGAGAGAGACCCTGTCTCAAACAAACAAACAAACAAGAACAAAACTGAACTTCTACAGCTAAAATATCTACTATAAGCATTTCATTATACAATTGGAAGTATTAACAGCAGAATACACCAAACTGAAGAAAGAATCTCAGAGCTTAAAGACGAAACCTTCAGATAATATTAGACAATAATAAAGCAAAAAGAATTTTAAAATGAAACAGAACATCTGAAAAATATGGGATCATGTACAGGAACCACGTGTAGGACTCATTGACATCCCTCAGACAGGAGAGAGAATAAGCAGCTTGAAAAACATATTTGATAATATTGTTCAGGAAAATGTCCTTAATTTCACTAGAAAGGGTGACATGCAAATTCAAGAAATACAGAGGACCCCAACTAGGTACTATACAAGACAACAATCCCCAAGACATCAGATTAGCCAGGGTCAATGCAAAATAAATAATCTTAAAGGCAGCTAAAGAGAAGAGAAGAGTCAGATCATATATAGAGTGATGTCTATCAGGATAGAAGCAGACATCTCGGCAGAAACTTTACCTCTAATGTCTAGTAAGACATTAGAGGCCTATTTTCAGTGTTGTTAAGAAAAGAAATTCGAACCAAGAATTTCATTTTCTGCAAAACCAGGCTTCATATCTGAAAGATAAATAAAATACTTCTTAGACACGCAAACACAGAGGAAATTCATTTCAACTAGACCAGTTTTACCTAAGACCTCTACCTAGGATCTCTCCTTTAAGAAGTCCTTAAGGGAATGCTAAACATGGAATCAAAAGAATAATATCTACAACCACAAAAACACACTTACACACATACCCCACAGACACTATAAAGCAACTACACAAGCCTCCATAACAATGAGCTAAAAACACAATGACAGGATCAAAATCTCACATGTCAATACTAACTCTGAATGTAAATCGCCTAAATGCTCCACTAACAAAACAGATTGACAAGCCGGATAAAAAGAGAAGACCCAACAACCATCTGGTATCTTCAAGAGACCCATCTCACATGTAACAACATCCACAGGCTCAAAGTAAAGTGATGGAGAAAGATTTACCATGCCAACAGAAAGGAAAAAGTGGCAGCAGTATCAAATAAAACAAACTTTAAACCAGTAACAATTAAGATGAACAAAGCAGGATATTATATAATGATAAAGGATACAATCCAACATCAAGACTTAACTAACCTAAGTATATATGCACCCAATAATGGAGCACCCAGATTCATAAAACAAATTCTTCTTGACCAGAAAAGACTTAGACAGTCACACAATATAGTGGAAGACTTCAGCACTCCACCTACAGTGTTAGACAAATCAGCAAGGCAGATAACTAACAACAAAACTCTTAAACTTGACACTTACCCAGTTGGACCTGATAGACATCTACAGATCACTTCATCCAACAATCACAGAATATACATTCTTCTCATCTGCAAATGGAACATATTCTAATATCAACCACATTCTCAGTCATAAAGCAAGTCTCAATAAATTCAAATACACTGAAATTATACCAAGCACACTCTTGGACTACAGTTCAACGGAAACAGAAATCAATATCAAGAACATTTATCAAACTACTTAAAAACATGGAAATTAAATAACTTGCTCCTGAATAACTTTTGGGGGAACACTGAAATTGAGCAGAAATCAGAAAATTATTTGAAATGAATAAAAATAGGAATGCAACTTAACAAAATTTTGGGGATGCAGCTAAAGCAGTGTTAAGAGGAAAATTTGTAGCACTAAACACCTTCATCAAAAAGTTAGAAAGATCTCAAATTAACAATCCAATATTGCACCTAAAGGAACTAGAAAAAAAAACCCAAAGCTAGCAGAAGAAAAGAAATAACTAAAATTAGAGATGATCTGAATGAATTTCAGATGCAAAAATCCATACACAACATGAATGAAACCAAGAAACATACTTTCTTCAAAAGAATAAACTAGATTAATAGACTGCTAGCTAGATTAACAAAGAAAAATAAGAGAGAAGATCCATTAAGTACAATCAGAAATGGCAAAGATGACATTACAACTGATACAAAAGTTCCTCAGAGACTACTCTGAACAACTCTATGCACAGAAATTCAAAAACCTAGAGGGAATGGATGAATTCCTTGAAACACACAATATCCCAAGATTGGATCAGGAAGACATTGAAACACTGAATACAGCAATATTGAGTTCTGAAATTGAATCAGTGATTAAAAAACCCACTAACCAAAAAAAGACCTGGGACATTTGGAATCACAGATGAATTCTACCTGACATACAAAGAAGGCCTGGTACACATTCTACTGAAACTACTCCAAAACATTGAGAAAGAGAGGCTCCTACTCAACTCATTCTTTGAAGCCAGCATCATCCTGATAGCAAAATCTGGCAAAGACACAATAAGAAAAGAAAACTTCAGGCCAATATCCCTGATGAATATAGACACAAAAATCCTCCACAAAATACTGGCAAACCAAATCCAGCAGCACATCAAAAACTTAATAAAGCACAATCAAATAGGCTTTATTCCTGGGATACAAGGCAAGTTCCACATACACAAATCAATAAATCTGACTCACCATATGAACAGAATTAAAAGCAAAAATCATATGATCATCTCAATAGACATAGAAAAACCTTTTGATAAAGTCCACCATCCGTTTATGATTATTAAAAAACCCTAAACAAAGTAGGCATTGAAGAAACATATCTTGAAATAATGAGTCGTCTATAGCATACCCATAGCCACCATTACACTAAATGAGCAAAATCTGGAAACATTCCCCTTGAGAACTGGAACAAAACAAGGATGCCCACTCTCACCATTCTGATTCAACATAGTACTGGAAGTACTACCAAGAAAAATCAGGCAAAAGAAAGATATAAAAAGCATCCAATTAGGAAAGAAGAAGTCAAACTATCTCTCTTCATGAATGATATAATTTTATACCTAGAAGACCCAAGAGACTTCGCCAAAAGCCTCCTAGAACTTATATACAACTTTAGTAAAATTTCAGGATACAAAATCAATGTACATAACATCCAGGCTAAGAGTCAAATCAAGGACACAATCCTATTTACAATAGCCACAAAGAAAATTAAATACATAGGAATAGAACTAACAAAGTAGGTGAAAGATCTCTACAAGCCACTGTTGAAAGAAATCAGAGATGAAGTGAACAAATGAAAAAAAATTTCATGTTCATGAATTGAATGAATCAATACCATTAAAATGGCCATACTACCCAGAGCAGTTTATAGATTCAATGCTATTTCTTTCAAACTACCAATGTCATTCTTCACAGAATTAGAAAGAAACTATTCTAAAATTCATATGACTCCAAACAGAGCCCAAATACCCAAAGCAATCCTAAGCAAAAGGAACCAAGCTGGAGGTGTCACAGTACCCAACTTCAAACTATACTATGCAGCTACAGTAACCAAAACAGCATGATAGTGGTACAAAAACAGACACATAGGCCAATGAAACAGGAAAAAAAAAAAACCTCACAAATAAAGCTATACACCCACACCCATCTGATCTTCAACAAGGCCTAAACAGAAACAAACAATAGGGAAAGAACACCCTATTCTATAAATGGCACTGAGATAACTGGCTAGCCATATGCCAAAGATTGAAACTGGACAACTACCTTTCACCATATACAGAAATTAACTAAAGATGAAAGATAAATTTAGATGTAAGACCATAAACTATAAAAATCCTAGAAGAAAACCTAGGAAGTATCCTTCGTGACATTGGCCTTGGGAAAGAATTTTTGGCTAAATCTCCAAAAGCAATTGCAACAACACCAAAAATTTACAAGTGGGACTTAATTAAAGAACCTCTGCACAGCAAAATTAATAACAAAATAACCTACAAAATGGAAGAAGATATTTACAAACTTTATATTTGACCAAGGTTTAATATCCAGAATCTGTAAGGATCTTAAACAAATCAAAAGCAAAAAAAAAAAAAAAATCTTATTAAAAAATGGGGCAAGTTGCGGTGGCTCACGCCTGTAATCCCAGCACTTTGAGAGGCTGAGGCGAGTGGATCACAAGGTCAGGAGTTCAAGACCAGCCTGGTCAATATGGTAAAACACTGTCTCTACTAAAAATACAAAAATTAGCCAGGCGTGGTGGTGGGCACCTGTAGTCCCAGCTACTTGGGAGGCTGAGGCAGAAGAATCACTTGAACCCAGGATGCAGAGGTTGCAGTGAGCCAAGATTGTGCCACTGCACCCCAGCTGGGTGACAGAGCAAAACTCCATCTCAAAAACCAAACAAACAAAAAAAACAAAATGAAAAGAAACAAAAAATGGGCAAAGGACATGAACAGACACTTTTCAAAAGAAGACCTACAAGAAGCCAAGAAACATGAAAAAATGCCCAACATGACTAATCACCAGAGAAATGCAAATCAAAACCACAATGAAATACTATCTCATGCCGGTGAGCGTGGTTAATCTTAAAAAGTCAAAAAAACAACAGTTGCTGGAGATGCTGCAGAGAAAAGCCAATGCTTACACAGTGTTGCTGAGAATGTAAATTAGTCCAGCCACTGTAAAAAGCAGTGCAAGGATGTCTCAAATAATTTAGAACTACTATTCGACTCAGCAATCCCATTACTGGGTATGTATTCAAAGGAAAATAAATCATTGTACCCCAAAAATTCATGCACTTGTGTTTTCATGGCAGTGTTGTTCACAAGAGCAAAGATGTGGAATCAATCTAGGTGCCCAATAATGTTGGATTGGATAAAGAAAATGTGATACATATATACCATGAAATACTACACAGTCATGAAAAATAATTAAATCATGTCCTTTTCAGCAACACTGATGCAGCTAGTGGCCATCATTTTAAACAAACTAATGC